>NW_025791804.1:0-144689 GCF_000001405.40 Homo sapiens
CCCGTCTCCTCGGCGCCCCGCCCCTCTGATCTCCTCTCCTCGGGGCCCCGCCCCTCTGATTCCAGTCTCCTCGGCGCCCCGCCCCTCTGGATCTCCGTCTCCTCGGCGCCCCACCCCTCTGATCTCGGTCTCCTCGGCGCCCCACCCCTCTGGAGTTCCGTCTCCTCGGGGCCCCGCCCCTCTGGATCTCGTCTCCTCGGCGCCCCGCCCCTCTGATCTCGGTCTCCTCGGCGCCCCGCCCCTCTGGATCCCCGTCTCCTCGGCGCCCCGCCCCTCTGGATCTCCGTCTCCTCGGGGCCCCGCCCCTCTGGATCTCCGTCTCCTCGGGGCTCCGCCCCTCTGATCTCCTGCACGCACCCGGCCTCGCCTGAAAAGCCCCACGTACAGCAAAGCGGCCGTGTCTTGGTGGCCTCTGCCTGGGGCGCTATGGGTGGCCTGTCTATGCCTCAGTTTCCCCATTCTTGATGAGAGGGAGCTGGGGTCGCTACTGGTCACTCGGGCCCCAGGCAGACCAAGGCTCACTTCTGTCCACTCCCTGGCCCCATTCCCAGGAATCCCACCGGTTCCTGGCCGGGGTCTGGAATCTGTTCTCCCAGTCCAGGACCTACCCTCCCCTCCACTTCCTGCCTGCAAGCTCTGTGGTCCTTCCTTGTCTTGAGTCCAGGGTTCCCTGTGCTCCCAGTCCAGCCTCCCTACTCAGGGCCGAGGGCACCAGGAGGATGGTCGTTGCAAAAGAATATGGGAGGCCGGGTGCGGCGGCTCACGCCTGTAATCCCAGTACTTCTGGGAGGCCAAGGGGGGCGGATGACTTGAGGCCGTGCAACACCTGCCAGCACCAGCATTTGACACGGAATCGAAGAAAACAGGCAGGACATACCCTGACTACACTAGTACAAGTCATCGGCGTCTCGGGGTCCTGGGTTTTAGAAATCACACTGTCAGGGAGGGCTGATGGGGTCCTGGGTTGGAGGCTGGAAGTGGAGGAATCGAGGCATAGGCAGAAACTTGAAGGAAGGGTCAGCCGAGCTGGCCAGAAGGGGGCTCCTCGCCACGGTCCCCAGGGAAGCACTTTGCTCATGGGCCCCGGCCCTGAGAGAGGAGCTCCTGCCTCTTCCCACTCGGAGAGGGCTGACAGGAGAGGCTTGGCCTGGTGTTTCCTGATGAGATAGCGGGCACGTTCCGGGAAGCGGTGAGCAGGCCCAGCAGACATCAGATGTGGTGCTTCCTGTCTCCTGTGAATGCGCCTGGCCCTTGAGGGGGGTCTGGGATGGAGAGTCGGGGGAGGGGAACCCCACTCGCCCTTCTCCTTGTTGTTCTTGGCAGCTGGACTTGGGCAATTGTGCCTCCACCCTCTGGAGGGGCCTCCCCCTGTGCTGGCTGCAGATCAGAGGGGCGATGGGGAGGGATCCACCGGTCCAGGCGGGGGCTCACCTTCCAGACCCGGGCGTGGGCGAGAGGGGTGCATGGGAGGACGCCCGATGCCTCAGGGCCCCCGGTCAGCAGCGAGGCACAGACTCTCCTCTGGGCGGTGATGGCCCTGCACGAGGTCCGTGTGCCGTCTGCCTGCACAGGGAGAGGAAAGGATCACGCGACCATGGGTACGTTGGCCACCTGAAGGTTGAGTCCCGCAGCCTAGAGACTGGAGCGTGGGGACCAGGAGGAGCTTCTTAGCGGAACTGGGCTGGGGCTCATGCAGCCCTCCAGGAGCCCCCGACGCGACGCCCTGGCTCATCCCGGGTGAAGAGGCTGCTGAGTCTGAACTGATGACAGTGGACGGGTGGCCGCCGGTTCCCAACGCATGGTTGGGCCTGGAACCCAGGTGACTCTGGGAGATGTGGTCACAGTCACAGCCGTCTGTGGGCCTTTGGGTTCAAAACAGCGCGAGTCACAGGAGACAGAAGGGAATCTGAGCTTGCGATTGCTCATTCTTGTCACCCTCCTGGCTCTGGGACACCTCTGCCATCTCCTACCAAGGGTACCCCATTCCTGGCGAGTTGGAAAGTGGCCTCATGGGCAGAAAACGAGGGCAAAGGGAGCTGCGTGCTGTGAGAGACGTCCCCGCACCCACCCTCCCCACCAGCTCCCTTGGGCCTTTCCTCCCTCCCAGCCCCACCCACAGCCGGGTGGCTCCCTTCACTGTCTCTCCTGGGTTTAACTCAGAGGCTGGCGAGCAGGGGCTGACCAGTGTGTGTCGGAGACTCTCCGAGTGGCCAGCACGGGCAGGGAGCTCATAGGCTTGGCCCTGAGACCAGGTCCTGTCTGAGAAGGAGGCAGGTCCTGTCTGAGAAGAAGGACCCCCACCCCTCCTGCCTGGGACCCTGCCTTAGGCTCACTCTAATGACCTAATTTCAATTTGATTGAATGCAAATCTGAATTTGCTAGAAGACCTGATTTCATCTTTCCGGGTTCAGTAAACATGACATTCTCCGTGGGGGTTTATTTGTGGAACTCCCAGTCAGAGCTGCTGCCCCAGCCCAGCAGGGCTCAGCGACGTGCACTGGTTTTAGGAGTAAATCCGAAGCAACAGAAGCGTTCGCACTGGCTCTGGGTGCAGCCTGCATCTTCAGCCCTGGGGCACTGATGCTGGGCAGCTTCTCGGCTTCACTCGGGAAGGGACTCAGGAGCGAGGTGGTGGGGAAGCCAGCAGCTTGGCTGAGGCGGCAGTGGAGGTGGTCCAGCTCCGCGACTGCTCCCACAGAGCAGGGCTGCCGCTCGGGCAGTGTGCAGAGTGCAGCCGCTTGGGGCCAACTTGCCATCATATGTATAACCACTTTTAATGACATGCTAATTAGGGGGCGGGTTATTCAGATATAGCTGGAGGATGGGCAGTTGCTTCCAGGTGTTGCCAAGGCAGTGAGAGCAACGGGAACTGCCCTTGGCGCCTCTTCCAGCTTTGGCCTGTCTTTGGTCGGGTCCGGGGACCAGGCTTGCCTACCACGTTTTCTGTGTCAAAACAGTCACGCAGAAATAAACAGTGACAGCACTGTGATGAGAAAAGCGAAGAAACAACTTATTTCAACTTTCTGACTTTTGTTGTGGCCTCAGCACTTTTGTTTGTGCTTAACATTGAAAACAGTGAGGCAGTGTAAACTGTGAGATGTGATTTTTCATTTGGTAAGTGCAAATTTTAGTTCATTCATGAAACCAGTTTTGAAGATCTTTAAAATAGAATTTAGTCGACCTTAAGAATTGTTAATTGTTTACAACTAAAGACCAAAAATCCAAGAGAATAAAGCGTTGCACCAGTGGTAGGGGTTTGTAGTTGCCTAAATTGTACCTTTTACAGATGTTTCATTTTATTAAAACTCACTAGTCACTGGATCTTCTATTCAACATGGTGATGGGATGAAATTATGTATGACAACTGTGCTCCCTGAAAAGACATGTTTGCGTCTGATCCCCTGGGGTCTGTGAATGTGGCCGTATTTGGAAACAGGGTCTCTGTAGACATAATCAAGTTAGGATGACATCATGAGGACAGGCCCTAATCCAGTATGACTGGTGTCTTTCCGAGAAGAAAACAGAGACACAGAGGGCGAGACCCACGTGAAGGCAGAGGCAGAGATTGCAGCACTGTGGCCAAAGGCCAGGAGTGTCCAAACCACCAGAAGCTGAAAGAGGCAGGGCAGGGTCCCCCGAGAGTGGTCGTGGGGAGCTCCCTCAGGCAGATACCTCGCGGTCCTGCAACTCCTCGATCGCAGACTCTGGGCTCCAGAGCTGTGAGACAGTTCAATTCTGTTGTTTTAAGCCACCTTGTTTGTGGTCATTTGTGCCAGCAGCCCCAGGACGGTCACACGTGCACCATTCACTGCTGTATTGGGTTAGACCCTTGCACTGAGGGCTTTGGGAACCTGACTGGGTTGGCTGCTGGACAGGGGACTGTGAGGGCTGCGGGGGGTGTCGGCGCAGGAGTGGAAGGTGCCCCTGCTGGGATGGGGGTCCCTCTGTCCCCTTCTCCTTCTGGAGAGAGGGCCCTCATGGGGCTGCCCAGGACACAGAGCTACTTGTAAAATCCTGCCCCCATTCCAGCCTGGGGCTCCTGCTGGGGGCAGGGTCCAGGAGCTTCGGGACAACATATGGACTCAGGGCCCGAGGTGGCCTTTATGATATCCAGGTCTCAAAGGAGGGGATCCCGGGGAGCTTGGGATGCGGCTCATCCCCAGCCTGAGTCTTCTTCCTTCACTGTCACCTGTTGCCCCTCTGGGAGCTGCCGTTGAGAATGAGGAACGTTCCAGGTGGTCTGTGCCAGCAACACCACTGCAGGCTCGGGGGCGGGGGGAGACGGGCACGGAGTGTCACACACAGGTGCTGGACAGGAAGTGGGCTGAGGGCCAGCGCAGGAGGTGGGGGGCAGACAGGGAGGGGGCGTTGCCCAGGTGCTGGACGGGAAATGGGCTGAGGGCAAGTGCAGGAGGTGGGGGGCAGACGGGGAGGGGGCATTGCACAGGTGCTGGACGGGAAATGGGCTGAGGGCAAGCGCAGGAGGTGGGGGGCAGACGGGGAGGGGGTGTTGCACAGGTGCTGGACGGGAAATGGGCTGAGGGCAAGTGCAGGAGGTGGGGTGCAGACGGGGAGGGGGCGTTGCACGGGTGCTGGACAGGAAGTGGGCTGAGGGCAAGTGCAGGGGGTGGAGTGGCCACTGGACCTGGCTGACCAGAGCAGAGAAGGTCTATGAAGAGAGATGGGAGAGGAAGATGCAGAAGGATTTAAAAATAGGGCTTTGTAATTTTCAAACAGCATACAGTATGCTATGAAAGAAAGGTTAGAAAAATTTTTTAAAGTTAGCTAAAATCCCATCACCTGGAGATAAACACAGATGACATTTTAAAGTTGCACCCGAGTTAAACAGTGGCTCTGAGCATCCTCAGAAGATGAGGCACTCTCTAGTTTTCTGAGTGGGGAGTTTAGTGACGAAGCTGTTGCTTCGGGAGGAGGACGAGGGCAGTGTGGGCACTGGTGGGCGTAGGGGGGACGGGGCTCTGGGTGAGGACAAGCAGAGGGAGGCTCACAGTGCCACAGGCAGGTCCCAGCCTCTGCCTTCAGGACAGACCAGACCCCTCAGCCTCTGAACTGTGTTCGGGCAAACGGGATTACGACTCTGAGTGACTGGAAGGCCCCGCTTGGTGCTGAGTGCACTGGCACCCATGTTATGTCTGTGGCACAAGCGCTCGATGAGGTCTGCACGATCACTGCAGATGATCACTGCACCATCATTCCTCGCTGCACGATCCTTCCTCGCTGCACGATCCTTCCTCGCTGCAGGATCCTTCCTCGCTGCACGATCATTCCTGGTTGCACGATCCTTCCTCGCTGCACGATCCTTCCTCGCTGCATGATGATTCCTTGCTGCACGATCCTTCCTCACTGCACGATCCTTCCTCGCTGCACGATCAGTCCTCGCTGCAGGATCAGTCCTCACTGCACGATCCTTCCTCGCTGCATGATCCTTCCTCACTGCATGATGATTCCTTGCTGCACGATCCTTCCTCACAGCACGATCCTTCCTCGCTGCACCATCCTTCCTCGCTGCACGATCCTTCCTCGCTGCACGATCCTTCCTCGCTGCACGATCCTTCCTCGCTGCACGATCCTTCCTCGCTGCATGATCCTTCCTTGCTGCACAATCATTCCTCGCTGCACCATTATTCCTCACTGCACAAGGGAGGAAACTATAGCACAGGGAGGGTGAGCCACTCGCCCAGGGCCACATAGCTGTGAGGGGAGAACTAGGAATTCTCATCCAGCCTTCAGGAAAATTACATGTGGACTGGATGTGACGGATCTTGAGCCACGCTGACAATTGAGTCCCTGTCCCTCAGTGGGTTTCAGAAGAGAGGCCTCCCCTCTCCCACATCCCAGGAGCTCAGAGGCCCTGGGATGGGCCGACAGTTCTTGGCCAGGTGGCTGCTCCTGCGGTCACAGCACTTGGAGGTGCTGGCCTGCGTGCAGACGCCCCCTGTGCCTGTGGGGTCCTCTCCGGGCCTGGCCTGGCCTCAGTCCCACTGGCCACCCTCGCTCGGGGATCGCTAGGGGTCCTTGGACCTCAGACCATGCAGGGCCTCCCTTTGCAGAACAGGAAAATAGGACGGCCACCCTCAGGCCACCGTCCATGAGCATCACAGGGGCAGGTTCTTATCTCTGGGCTGGACGTGTCAAGGCTGGGCTTGGGGGCCAGAAGCTTCCCAGCAGGCCTCCCACTGGCCACAAGACACAAGCAGCCCCTCAGCCCTGCAGCCACGTCCTCTCTGACAGGGCCCCTCTTGCCCCAAGCCCAGCCGGGCCACCGTGGCCAGCTCCACACACACATCTGGCTGAGCACTCACACCAGGCTGCGGGGTGGTGTCACGGCCCAGGAATGCAGGAAGACGTCTGGGGCTCTGGCAGAGAGGCATGGCCATGCGCCAAGAATGTGCCTTGTAGAGACATAATTATGCATTGGGGGAATACGGCGTAACAAACCCGGTGGATGCCACCGACTCCACTTACTTTACTGAGAGCTGAGAGGACAGCAAAGTGCGGCACTGACCCTCAGGAGGGGAGGGCGCTGGCTGGTGCCCACCGTCCTGCAGAGGACTGAGGGATGCGTGGGCATGGGTGGGCACAACCGTGGGGGCGCTGGCCTGGGGGAGGAGGAAGGAGGCCGGGCGAGGGCGTGGGCAGCGCTGTCCTGGCTGATGGCTGAGGAGCCAGGGCGCGGCCGCAAGTGCGTGGCAGCGTGGCAGGGCGGCTGAACGACCCCATTGTGTGGAGTGAGGCCGAAAGGCCAAGTGGGACGGGCAGGGAAAGAAGCACATTTCATAACTTCAGTCCACTGTGAGAGGACTGCCTGCCCCTTTTAGAAAACTTGGAAATCACAGCAAGTCTCCAGCAGGGAAACAACGCCATGGGGGAGGGGTCTTATCTCTGGGCTGCGCTATCTCCCCACCCAAAGACCACGTCAGCCTTCCGGGCATTTCTTTCAGAATTTTAAGCCACATGTCTGTGTGTGTCTCTCTGTGCGTACAAACACGTCTGTTTATGTGTGTCCTCACATCGCTGGGGTCATGTTGTATGTGTTGTAAAAATTACTTTTTAACTTGTGTAATATGTGTATATATATATAACAAACCCTACCGTCTTAACTGTTTTTGAATCTACAGCTTGGTGGCATGAAATACATTCATATTAACTGTAACTGTCAATTTCCAGATGTTTTATCTTCCCGAGCCGAAACTCTGTCCCCATTAAACACGAACTTCCCAGTCCCCCTCCCCCAGCACCCACCGTTCTGTTTCTGCCTCTATGAAGCTGACAACCCAGGGACCGCGTACGAGTGGAATCAGCAGGATTTGCCCTTATGTGTCCGGTTATTTCCCTCGGCACAGTGTCCTCAGGGTTCATCCGTGTCACAGCAAGCGTCTGACTTTCCTTCCTCTTCCAGGCTGGGTCACAGCCCTTCATGTGGATGGACCACGTTTTATTCACTCATCTGGCAACGGTCCTTCTGGCTGTTGTGAATAACGTGGCTGTGAACGTATACGTCTTGTTCTGTTCAAAGCAAAACACACATTTTCATTCTTTCAAAACTGTCCTTATGTTTCCTGTGGAATGCCCTGGACTCAGGGTTTGGGGGAGCCGGTCATTATATCACACCCGGGGTTTTCGCTGGAAAGAGCCTCAAGCCGTATGTGCTCTCCCGACGCCATCCTCCCCACAGTTGGCTGTTGAGAATTTTTTCTCTTTGGAGGACTGTGGGGTCTCTCTAGCCTGGCCATCCTGAGTCCAAGTTTCTTTTCCCTGACAACAGACAAATGAGCGAGTAGCCCTCTCAGTCCACGAGCTGACCCTTCAGAGGCTGGGGTTGCAAACCCTGATCCTTGGTGGGCTGGGGTCGGCCTCTGGGAGCCCCTCCTTCAGAGTGAGGGGCTGGTGCAGGTTTTCTTTTCTCCTCACTGAGAGTTTTTTCTGCTGCCTGAGAGAAGAGGGTGAAGGCTCCCGGTAAAGAGGATGGGGTGCAGGCTCCTGAGCCCACCGACAGCCCCGTCCAGCGCTGACCTGTGGGAAAACGGCCTCTTGGCAGGTCAGTCCAGGCGGTGGTTTCCCTGGAGCCAGGGGCTGGGTTCCAGAGCCCGGCCTTCCACCCCTACAGCGGGCAGGGCTGACGGGCGCGAAACTGGGAGCGTAGCTCTGGGAGGTGGCCTCGGGGAACCATTTTCCCACCGGGCGGGCCCTTTTGTTCTCCTGTCTGTGCGCGCAGGGCAGCCAGGTCCCGGGATGGACCCTATTTTGAGAGATTTATTGACTTTCTTTTTCTTTTGAAAGGGCTGTGGCCAGGCAGAATATTGAAGCGAAGGAGCCCGACAGTAGCCGCTCTCTCAGGGTCTAAGGCAACAGAGAGCTCCCAGGTGTGTATAGAGCGGGGCGGGAGTCGGGTCTGCAGGACGGCCGGTGGGGAAAGGCCACGAGGTCTGCAGCTGGGGGCCGGGCCGTGCTCAGCGGTGTGTGGTGGGGACACCAGGAAAGGCTGTGGGGGGTCTTGGGAGTCGGCACCCTCCCTGAGGGGCCCTAAGTCCCTGCCAGCTTGTGGAACCAGAGGGTCCCTGGAACAGTCTGTGTGGACCCCCAGGGTCCTCTCTCCACCCCCGGGCGTTGACCTCCTGCGGGATGCTGACCTGACTCGGGTGTGTGGGGGTGTGCCCATGTGTGTCCTTGAGTGGGTATGTGTAGGGGTGCGTGTGTGTGGCTGTGCAAATCGCCAACGACAATCTTCCGTCCAGGGAAACGGACGCCGTGTCCCTAGGAGGAGTGTGGCTTTTCCTGTCCTGGGCTGGGGATGTGGGACCCCTTTTAACCTACTTTTGAGAGCAGATCTGGGGGGGCTTGTTTTTTAAAAATCACAAAATAAACATAACTATTGTTCTCCCACTGATGAAATTACCCATTTTCACGACCCAGGGGCGATCTGTTTTCATCCCTTCGTGTAGGCCACTGCGGACCTTTTCTCCTTTTATGCACACGACAGTATGTTTTCAGGCTTTTCCAAATTAGGAGCACATTTTATATATTTGTATAATTTTCTGGATTGATTTTTAAAATGGAATCTTGTGGACAGACTTCTGTGACCTTAACTGTGGATTTACATCAGGCTAATGGTTGTGAAGGTTTTTATTTTGTGAACACCATCAATGGATGTTGAGATTTTAGGTTCCCTTTTTCCTTGCATTATAAACAATGCTTTTTCTCTCCTTCTCCCTTTGCATACACTCCCAGCAGTGTCAGTGAGCTGGGGCCTCGTGCTCCTGGGTCCTGGCGGGGCACGAGGCTGGTACGGGGAGCTTCTCCTAGACTGTGTGGCCCCTTAGCAGTGTTCCTACCGTGCAAAGGCCCTTCCTGGTTTACAGAAAGGATCTGGAGGGGGAGAAGAGCCTCGCGGCCCGCATGATGTTGGACCAGCGTTTGCCTCCTTCTGAGGCCCCCGCCTCCCACCAGGCCTGGCGCTGCTTTTCACATCTCCGCCCCAGCCCAGGTCCAGCGTGTCTGAGTGTGGACTCACCCTCTGTTCCCAGCCCCAGTCCATGGATGTGAATAAAACGGAAACTAGAATTCAGGAGCCTGAGAGGCCAGGATGCCAATCTCTGTAACCTCAGGACAGAGGCCTAGGGGCAGGGGGGCCTGAGTGACAGGCCAGGGGAAATGGGGGGCTGTGTGACAGGCCAGGGACAATGGGGGGCTGTAGCCATACTAGCCATACACGGGCTGAGGCCCAGGGTGTCCCCTGGCCGCTGTCCTCTGCATAGGCCCTGAGGCCAGGGACTCCTCCCACCTTGTTCTGGGCACTGGGGGCTCAGCTCAGGCCTGTTCCAGCCCCACTTTGATGCCCAGGAAGTCCCAGGATGAAATCACAGGGACAGAAGCCGGGGCTACGGCTAAGACCCTTTGACATGGAAATGCTGATTCGGTGGCTCAGGGGCTTCCCACCCAGCTCCCTCGGGAGGCCTAGGCCAGGGCGTCAGGGTGGGGTGCCCGAGCCTGTTCTCCCTGCCGGAGGGCCGGTGTCCAGGGGCCATTGTCCAGGCCAGGGCTCACCCGAAAGGCCTGGAGCCTCACACGCTTTCAGGTAGGAAGTGTCCTCGGGAGCCTGGGTGGCCCCTGCAGTTGTTTTGGGAAGGTTTTGCTCTGATTTTTTCCTGCATAGCTGAGGTAAGTGCAGTTTTTGCCCTTTATTCATTGGAGAGTCTGGCCTGTCCCGCCGAGCACAGCGTTTCCCTCACGCTGGCCGTGAGCACACAAGGGTGTCCAGGGGCCACGCAAGCCTCTGGAAAACAGACAGACGCCAGTGCTGTACCCCCTGCTGCGGTCCGCAGGACCAGGACCCCGCGACCCTCCTTGAAGGGGCAGGTCCGCTGGTGGTGGGGGGCACAGAGGGGCCCAGGCCGGGGTGTCTCAGAGGAAACCAGCCGCCCACAGACATGCTGGGCACCCATATGGTGGAGTCCTCTTGGCCACAGCAAGGGATGGAGCCCCTGACGGACTCAAAGCGTGAAGCCCAGAGAAAGGCACCACACGGGAGCACGCGGGGGTCCCAGGACAGGCACAGCCACCCACGCGGCCACAGGTGGGGTCCCGGGGCAATATATATATATATTTTTGAGACGGAGTCTCGCTCTGTCGTCCAGGCTGGAGTGCGGTGGCGCGATCTCGGCTCACTGCAAGCTCCGCCTCCCGGGTTCACGCCACTGTCCTGCCTCAGCCTCCCGAGTAGCTGGGACTACAGGCGCCCACCACCACGCCCCACTAATTTTTTGTATTTTTAGTAGAGATGGGGTTTCACCGTGTTAGCCAGGGTGGTTTCTTATCTCCTGACCTCGTGATCCGCCCGCCTCAGCTTCCCACAGTGCTGGGATTCCAGGCATGGCCACCGCGCGGCCAGCACGGGGTCTTTCTTTATTTCCCAGGTGGGTCTTGAACTCTTGGGCTCAGGTGGTCCTCTTGCCTCGGCCTCTCAAAGTGCTGGGATTACAGGCGTCAGACACTGCGCCTGGCCACATTTTTTATGTGTGTGATTCACAACAGGGGTTTAGGGAAGGGAAGAGATAGCAAAAAGAAAAGTTCTCGTCTCAGTCAGTACCCCTGCCCCAACAAAAACCCCAACCAAAAAGCCTCACAGTAATTATCTCCAGCAATTTCCACCCTTTCTCCCTAAGAAATTTGAGTTGGGTGGTGGGTGGGAGGGCTTGTGCTCCCCCAGAAGCACTGAGGGAGAGGGAGGTGCCAGCGTCCACCCTTTGTGTTAGGTTTAAGCAAGTGCTGTCTCTGGTGCGTGGGGCCAGGGCCGGATGTCGTCGAAACACCGGAGCAGCCCAGGACTCGTCGCAGAGGGGAGCAGGGTGTATCTTACAGGGGCCGATGGTGCAGTCAAACCTCAGGGTCTACGGTTTTTATGGTTGCCTCGAGTCTCGTCCAGGCTGGGTTGTCTTGGAACCGGGTCTCCTGTCCAGTGTTTGCACGGTGTCATTAAAAATCACAAAACGTATGGAAGTGGTGGGTAAAGACTTTTCAACTTTGGTGATTTTGTTCTTCCCAATGGTGGAGAGAGCTTGCAGGGTCAGGAGCTGCGTGATGAGCTTGCTAGAAGTCCATGGGTGAAAACAGCCCTTGTGTGGCTCCCGGGTACGGCTGGCCGACCTGCCTAAAGCCAGGCATGGACCCGAGGTGCCCACACTGCTTGGAGCTGGTGGCACAGGGCCCGGTGTCCCTTGGAGAATCAGATCTGCCTCCATGGACTCACACCTCCTGTGTAAGTGGCGGGTTGTGTGCGTGGGGTGGTGGGACACCTGGCAGGTGGCAGAGGCGGCATCCCAGGGGGTGACTGACTTGCGATTTTTCTTCTGAGTGGGCACCCAGCCTCCTTCGATGCCCTCGGTGGGGAGAGTGAGGGGCACGAGCTTGGCCCTGGTGCTCAGACGCTTCTCGGTTCACTCCGGGGCCGCACCCTCAGGCCGCTCCATCTTGGACAAGTCTCTTGGCCTCGCTGGGCCCTGCGCTGTGCAGCCTCTGCCCTTTCCTCTCCAGGTTCCTGTTTCAAAGCATCTCTCTGAGGGGCTGGGGTGCCACAGGGGCCACCATATGGGAGGGCGGTAGCCTCACAGGAGCCAGCAGTGGGGCCATTGGGGCCTGGCTATGGGCAGCTAGGTGGCAGGAGGGGCTGAGGGGTCTCTGTGGTTGGGTCTGAGGTGAGGCAGGTTTGAGTTGGGCGGGACTGGAGGGGAGGGGAGGCGACGCGGGGCCCATGGAGGTGGACTTGGTCCACCGTCACCCCACACCTTCCTCCAGCACATCCTTCCCGTGGGTGGAGTCACAGCCCTGAGCTTCCTCTCCCTGCAGCCCTGTGGGGGAATCTGTTCTGTGCTCAGGGGACGGTGCCTGGTCCTGGGGGCTGGGCAGAGCTCGGAGGGGCCTGCCCCGGCAGCTTTGGTGGCTCGGGTGCTGCAGAGGCCGGCAAGGGCTTCGGCTCCGAGCTTCGGTGAGATTGAGGCCAGCGGTGCAGCTTGCAGGACGCTGAGGTGCTGTGAGCCCTGGAGGCCGACTCCAGACTCTGGCCAGCATCCTGGCAGCTGGGTGACCACAGGCTGTCTCTACAGCAGCCACCACTCCCGACACCACTCTCGGGTCCTCCTGGTATCGAGGGACCTGCTCGGGGTTGCCGTGGAGCTCGGAGCTGCAGGGTGGCTGAGGCCGGAGGCTTAAGACCCCAGTGTCAGGAGTAAATTAAAGGCGGGTGAAGGATGAGCGTGGATTGTGGGGGCAGCCAGGAGCCCAGGACCTCGAGGCCTCGTGGGGCCGGGCGGCTTTGCTGGCCTCCTGCAGCTGACAGGCGCCCTGGTGGGCAAACACTGAGAAATCGTGATGGGCGTAGAGATGACTGACCAGAACGTGCAGGAAGGAGGTGCTGAGCCTGAGGAAAGGCTCGGACGGGCAAACCGCAGGAGAGCTGGCCCAGCTCAACTCCAGTCCCACTGCAGCCGGGAGTCCTGGGGTGTCCCACGCTGACACCGGGGAGGGAGTCGTCCAGAAAGCAGCACCCACTCAACTGGAGAGGAGTCTTTCTCCACACATGAGCTGGGGGTGGCCACCGGCCCTGTCGTCCTCAGAGACTCATGGCCCGTCCGCCCAGCCACACATCCCTCTGTCCAGCGTGCTCGGGCAGCAGGCACTGTCGCTGGAGTGTCATGGCCACCCCAGGGCTTAATTTGGAGGTGCCAGATTTGATGGTCATCAGCCTGGGTAGGATTGAGGGCTTGTCCCAGACAGTCAGGAGACAAGCTGGGAGAACATCACTGGAGACAGATAATAAAGGCACTGACAAGCCCTGCGTTGACATGAGGTGCTGTCTGGAAAAGGCTGAGCCTGGTGGGGAATGGGTCCCCTGGAACGCGGGCCTGGACTTGGAGGACAGACGTAAAGCATTTGAAGGTCTCAGGGTGACGTTGAAGGGGCAGCAAAGAGAAACTGAAGACTGAGCTTTCAGAAGCTAGCTCACCAAACAGGGAGGCCAGGTCCGGTTGCCCCGCAGGCAGTGGCAGATCCCAGCTTTTCGTGTTTTGTCCTAGTGCCCAAGGTCTAGGAGATGGTTTTATTTTATTTTTAGTTTTTGAAAAATAGAGATGGGGTCTATGTTGCCCAGGCTGGTGTGGAACTCGTGGCCTCAGCGGATCCTCCTGCCTTGGCCTCCCGCAGTGCTGAGCCACCAGGCCTAGCTGATTCTGTAAGCCACGCAGGTGAATAATTCTGCAGCTCACAGCGTGGGTGGTTGTCTCTCCGGCAACCTGACCCGCAAAGGACACAACCGCAGGAGAGAGGTCAAGAGGCCCCTGCCTGCGGGTGTTAGGAGGTGTCATCTTAACATCCATGTTCATGGAAGACGTGTGCCTTCAATGGAAACTGTCCGTCGTCTGGGTCAAAGTTGGCTACAAAAACCTTCTGGGGGCTTCCTGGTCGGAGTCAACGTTTACCATATAGAATGCGGGCTTCTGGGCATAAGGACAGCCTAGAAATCTCTCTGTTATATAGACATTTTCCTTTTTAGAATTTGACCTTGATGTGCAAAGGAAATAAGTATACTATTGAGGTATTATTATTTGGTCCACAGTTTTGGAAGCCTCCCATGTGTGCACTGTGGTCGGGGTTGTGTGTATGACACACCCGCTTGGCCCCCAAAGAGCTTGCCGTCTGCTTCCTCATTACCGTACACCAAACAAAGGCCTTGGACATATTGCTGTACGTGTTCTATGTGCACATAAACTTGGAACTGAACACAACCAAACAGGTTGCTTACCTGCAGGACTGTCAGAAACTTTAATGAGCAAATGTTCATTGTGCATCTCCTTAGGCAACAGGGACCTTGGGCTGGGACAGGCTGTGGGGTCTTGGATACCTGGCATGATGGTTTAAAGTATATCTGCTACTTTGACAGCCCTCCTTCCAAAAGGTAGAGCCCGGTTCCTCTCCCCTGAACGCGGGCTGTGCCTCCGGACCTGCCTTTAGTGAGTAGGATATGGTGGGAGTGATGCTCTGAGACTCCCCAGGTGAGGTCAGAAAAGGATGGCTTCTGCCTGGTGCACTCTCTTGTCATTCACTTTGGGGGAGCAGCTGCCCTGTTGCAGGGCCTGTAAGCAGCCTGTGAGGCTCACCCTGTGGGGAACTGAAGCCTCCCCAGCCTTGAGAGGGGGCTACCGTCGACCTACCTCTCGACTGCAACCTCACAGCAGACCCCAAACAGGCTCAGCTGAGCAGCGCCAAACCCCTGAGCCAAAGACCTTGAGGATAATCAACGTTCACTGTTGTGGGAGTCACTAAGTGTTGTTCTGTGGCCGTAGCTAGCTCATGAACCTGGCATGGAGGTTGGGTTCCGTTCTGGTGGATGTGGGGAGGCCTGGGAGGTTACTGTGTGGGGAGGAGACGCAATGAACAGCCAGTGAAGCCTCAGAGATGCCCCTGCAGTAGCTAGAGTGTGAGGGGTGTAAGATAGTGGGAACGGAGGGGCTGGGAGAGCTCCCGGGGAAGAATTTCCCACATCCAGGACGTCTCTTCCTCACTCACGTGCCCAGGCCGTGCCGGGAGAGGTGCTTTGTGAAGCTTGGGTCCGGGAGAGCCGGGGCTCCAGGAGGGATTAGCTCTGCTCGTCTAAACTATTAACATGTCTGCCTGTGAGAAAGTGGTGCTTGCACCTAAGAACAAAGCGCCTTCCCCTGTGCTTGCATAGCGACCCCCCCCATTGCAGTATATTTGATATAAAAGCATGTTCTTTGTGTTTATGCTTAATCATTTTATTATTTTACTAAAGAATCCTGAAAAAGTTGTTGTTCTGTGCAGGTGTGGCCGCAAGACTGGCAGCAGAAAGGCACTTTTGTAAGAAGAGGGATGGGAGAAGCACAGAGGTGGACCTGGAAAAGTCAAAGGGAAGCTGTGGGTGGAAGCTCCGGATGGCTGACCCCGAGTTCCAGCTCAAAGAACAGAGATGGGTGGGGTGGGAAACACAGCGGAAAGAGCGGCCCGTGAACGAGGGTCCTCGGCAGCAGGACCGCCCTCCTCACGGACAGATGGCAAGTGCTGGGGAGGCGGGGGAGGAACCAGCCTGTCACCACCGGCGGGAACGTGGGCGGGCGCAGCCACTGCAAAACAGCCGGTCACTCCTCAGATAACAGGCGCGGACTTCCCACACGACCCAGCAATCCACGCCTAGATGTAGCCAAAGAGAAGCAGAAACACGTCCCCCGTAACACGTGTACCTGGTGTTATTCATAACAGCGAAAAAGTGGAAACAGCCCCAAGTTCATCAACAGACAAGAAAATGTGGTACATCTACCAGGCGCGGTGGCTCACGCTTTAATCCCAGCACTTTGGGAGGCCGAGGCAGGCGGATCACCTGAGGTCAGGAGATCGAGACCATCCTGGCCAACATGATGAAACCCCGTCTCTACTAAAAATACAAAAATTAGCTGAGTGTGGTGGCGGGCGCCTGTCATCCCAGGTACTCGGGAGGCTGAGGCAGGAGAATCGCTTGAACTCAGGAGGCGGAGGTTGCAGTGAGCCGAGATCGCGCCACTGCACTCCAGAATGGGCGACAGAGCGAGACTCTGCCTCAAAAAGAAAAAAAAAAGTGGTATATCTGTGCAGTGTGCTATTATGTGAAAATAAAAAGGAATGAAGCCCTGTCATATGACAACATGGATGAGCCGTGAAAAGATCATGCTCAGTGAAAGAAGCCACACACAGAAGGCCGCGTAGTGTATGATTCCATTTATACGAAGAGGTAAGAAGAGGCAAATCCAGAGACAGAAAGTGGACACTGGTTGCGTGGCCTGGGGAGGGGCTGGGGCGGGGCTTGGGAGGGGTTGGGGAGGGGCTGGGGAGGGGTTGGGGAGGGGTTGGAAGGGGCTGGGGAGGGGCTGGGGAGGGGCTGGGGAGGGGCTGGGGAGGGGTTGGGGAGGGGCTGGGGAGGGTTGGGGAGGGGCTGGGGAGGGGTTGGGGAGGGGTTGGGGAGGCGTTGGAAGGGGCTGGGGAGGGGCTGGGGGGTTGGGGAGGGATTGGGGGAGGGGCTCAGAGGGGCGGGGGAGGGGCCGCTAATGTATGGGGTTTCCTTTTTGTGTAATGAAAACATTCTAAAATTAGAGAGTCATACAACCTTGGGAATGTACAAAAGACCACCGGATTCTACACTTTAAATGGTTGATTTTTGTAGTACAGGCATTTTTTCCTCAATGAAGCTGTTTGAAAAAGAAAAAGGGAAAGAGAGGAAGAGAGAGAGGTGCCAGTTGGGGAGGAAAAGAGGAAGAGGAACCTTGTAGAGCAGAGTGCAGGTAGAACTGCAACTGAAAACAGGAACCTGCGGTGCAAACGGCACAGCGTGCACCGTGCTGCCTGTGCGCTCCCCTGTGCGCTCCCCTGTGCGCTGCCCTGTGCGCTGCCCTGTGCGCTCCCCTGTGCGCTCCCCTGTGCGCTGCCCTGTGCGCTTCCCTGTGGGCTGCCTGGTGCTGCCCTGTGTGCTCCCCTGTGTGCTGCCCTGTGCCCTGCAGGTGAGCCGTCGTGGCTGGAAGCAATTTCACTTTCGTGTGTCAGGACAGAGGAAAAGACGAATTTTGCATGAAGCGCAGGTCTGGGGCTTTTCCTCCCAGTTGGTAAAAAGGAGCTGACAGAGAGGCTGCGTGTTGGTGTGAGTGTGTGTTGCAGGCATTTTGTCTAACCAGAATGATGAGGGTGCATCAAGGCTGTCCCGGAGAGTCCAGATCGTAGATTATTTTGGACCCGCTGTCCCGGAGAGCCCAGATCGTAGATTATTTTGGATCCCGTGTCCCGGAGAGCCCAGGTGGTAGATTATTTTGGATCCCGTGTCCCGGAGAGTCCAGATCGTAGATTATTTTGGACCCGCTGTCCCGGAGAGCCCAGATCGTAGATTATTTTGGACCCGCTGTCCCGGAGAGCCCAGATAGTAGATTATTTTGGATCCCGTGTCCCGGAGAGTCCAGATCGTAGATTATTTTGGATCCCGTGTCCCGGAGAGTCCAGATCGTAGATTATTTTGGATCCCGTGTCCCGGAGAGCCCAGATCGTAGATTATTTTGGACCCGCTGTCCCGGAGAGTCCAGATCGTAGATTATTTTGGACCTGCTGTCCCGGAGAGCCCAGATCGTAGATTATCTTGGATCCCGTGTCCCGGAGAGCCCAGATCGTAGATTATTTTGGACCCGCTGTCCCGGAGAGTCCAGATCGTAGATTATTTTGGACCTGCTGTCCCGGAGAGCCCAGATGGTAGATTATTTTGGATCCCGTGTCCCGGAGAGCCCAGGTGGTAGATTATTTTGGACCTGCTGTCCCGGAGAGCCCAGATCGTAGATTATTTTGGACCCGCTGTCCCGGAGAGCCCAGGTGGTAGATTATTTTGGATCCCGTGTCCCGGAGAGTCCAGGTCGTAGATTATTTTGGATCCCGTGTCCCGGAGAGTCCAGGTCGTAGATTATTTTGGATCCCGTGTCCCGGAGAGCCCAGATCGTAGATTATTTTGGATCCTGTGTCCCGGAGAGTCCAGATCGTAGATTATTTTGGATCCAGAAGAGGAGGAGTTCTGCTTTCTGAATTTGTATGGCCTGCTCCACAAATGAAACAAGAAAAACTCCTGAAAACTGGCAGCCTATCTTTCCTGTAAGAAAGTGGTGTTGGGAGGCCAGGAAAATTACCTTTGTTTTGTCTGAGGAGAGGGGATGGCAGCAGGACGGAGGCTTCATGTCTGGTGGTGACCAAAAGCACATTTTCAAAGTGGGAAATATACTAATTAGTGGAGGAATAAGCAAAGGAGAGAAGCGTAGGCTCCTCCCAACGAGCCACTCGTCAGAGAGCCGGAACCTTGTCTCTATCAAGCTGTCCAGGGAAGACGTGTTTGGCCCCCAGGGCTGCAGTGCACCCACCCCACACACACTGGTGCTTGAAGGGTCAAGCTAGAGCAAATCAGAGAATCGGGGGGTCCCTGTTGGTGGACCCAGGAGTGGGAAGAACGCGGCTACCCGAAGTCTTGGCACCAACAGGGAGAGAACAGTCACCACTAAGTGGAGGCATTGTGCGTGGCGGTGGGATTGTGAGAATTGTACCATGGAGTTGTTTTTGGTTTTTAGAAAACTTCCAGGAGCTCAGAAACAGAGCACAGAGCTCATGACTCGGGGCAAGCTCGGAGCACAACGTGAGGACCACTTGATCAGGGTTCGGAGACCAGGACCCAGTGCCGTGAGGGCTTCGGGTCCCCCAGCTGCAGGTTCAGTGCCAAGTTCAGGGCACTGAAGCCAGGGCCACAGGAGGAGCCGCCGGAGCATATGCAGAAGGAAGAGGAAGGAGGAGCTGGAGAACATGATGCTGCTAACCCCAGATGAAAGCGTGTTTGCAGGAACCAGGTGGGAACTCCTGGAGACGGCAGGGGAACCAGGTGGAGGGCGGCTGCTCAGTTGTATCTGTACATGAGACTTCAATCAGCGCCTTCGCTAGCCCATTCATTCACCTGGCATTTATAGAACGCTGCTGGTGTACAGGGTGAACACAACAGCCAAACATCTTGGTTCCTCCTCAGAGATGGCCGGCCCAGAGCCTGGACATCTGACTCACCAATACTCTAGTCCGTCAAAAGGACACACACCAAAGGGGAAGGGACCTGCTGGCCACAGGTGGGGCTGAAATGGGTTGAAATGTGTTACACAACTCACATCTCATGGGTTCATAACTATCCCCCCCGCAAAAAAAAAAAGCAAAAAAAAAAGCAAAAAATGAAAAGAACAAAAACAAAAAAGAAGAAAAAGCTGGAAACCAGAGAGAATGATGCCAGGAACCAACTCATTCTCCTGAAAATGCGTCAGCGAAGGCAACAAGTGCTCCTCCTGCCTTTCCCGGACGCATTGTGACCAACCAGAAAGTTCTCATGGAAAACCCGGCTAACGGATGCGAGAGGAGTGTGGTAAGATTCGCTGTGGACAGTCCAGGACCGAGTGCTGGCGTCGACACCAAGAGCTCCTTGAAGGACACGCTGGGAAGCACACAGCCCTGTGAATTCACTCCTGCCGAGAAACGAAGCTTATGTTGCCAACCTCTGGGTCTGTCCCAGGGTCCCAGGAAGTACCGGCTCAGAGGAGCATATGCGGGTGGCACCGGGGGGCGCAGCCTGCAGTGCTGGAGGGAGGGATTCCACAGGGCAAACACCCAGCTCCTTCAGCAGATCAAAAGGGAGAAGAGTGGTAACAACTAATTGGAGAATTCTGGATATTGACTGTTTATTTGATTTTTTTTTTTTTTGAGACAGAGTTTCACTCTTGTTGCCCAGGCTCTAGTGCAATGGCACGATCTCAGCTCACTGCAACCTCTGCATCCTGGGTTCAAGCGATTCTCCTGCCTCAGTCTCCCAAGTAGCTGGGATTACAGGCGCACGTCACCACACCCGGCTAATTTTGTATTTTTAGTAGAGACGGGATTTCACCATGTTGGTCAGGCTGGTCTTGAACTCCTGAGCTCAGGTGATCCGCCTGCCTCGGCCTCCCAAAGTGCTGGGATTACCAGCGTGAGCCACCGCACCTGGACTGTTTATTTGATTTTAAGGCTACTTCGTGTTTAGGTGTGACAGTGTTATTGTGGTTACCCTCTTTAATACTCCTTGCATTTCAGCAGCATTTGCAGGGAAAATGATATAATGTGCGGGATTTGCTTTTCCACGTATGAGAGAGTGGGATGTGGATGAGCAAGATGGGCGAGTATTGATAATTACTGAAGCCAGGGGACTGGACACTGGGGTTTGTCTTACTATTTTCTCTACTTTTGTATTATGTTTGAAATTTTTAATAACACAAATGTATCAACATTGAGGCCCTTGTGGAGCCTACAGGCTGATGAACCTGTACGTGTGTGAGACGATGAAACGAACGAGAAGACGGCCTAATGTGGTGCAGAAGAAACGCTGTGAGGAAGCTGGGGAGGAGCGTGGGGGCTGTGATGTTAGAGGGGTGGCCTCACTGAGAAAGCACAGCACACGCTTTAGGGGTGGGGTTCCAGCCAAGAAGCCGCACAGCAGAGGCCATGGCTGGGACTGGAGCTGCTATGGCCCAAGGGGAATGGGGAGGAGGCCCCCCAGCCCTGGTTGGTGCTGGGAGACTGTGGACCAGGTGGGTTGGACATGGAGCCCCTGGAGGGCTCGGGCAGCCGTGGCACCATCTGGGGGCTTGTTGGGGGCACAGGGAGACCTGTTGACCGGGCCCCGCCAGGGACCAGGCAGAGCTTATGCTGCTGGGCTGGGGCTGGCCTTGGAGAGCTTGTGTGTGTGGAGCAAGCCTGTGCCTCAGTCCGTTCAAAGGAGCCCGAGAAAGAGGAGCATCCCCCGGATGGGGCCCATGAAGCTCCTCCCTGGGAAGCAGCCTGAGGGCACCCCTGGCCCAGGGGCTGAGTCCTGACGGCGTCTGCAACCTCTGGGCTGTGGTCTCCCTGAGCCCTGATGGCATCTGCAACCTCTGGGCTGTGGTCTCCCCAGTCCTGACGGCGTCTGCATCCTCTGGGCTGTGGTCTCCCTGAGTCCTGACGGCGTCTGCAACCTCTGGGCTGTGGTCTCCCTGAGTCCTGATGGCGTCTGCAACCTCTGGGCTGTGGTCTCCCTGAGTCCTGATGGCGTCTGCAACCTCTGGGCTGTGGTCTCCCTGAGTCCTGATGGCGTCTGCAACCTCTGGGCTGTGGTCTCCGGGAGCCTTGACGGCATCTGCAACCTCTGGGCTGTGGTCTCCCTGAGCCCTGATGGCGTCTGCAACCTCTGGGCTGTGGTCTCCCTGAGTCCTGATGGCGTCTGCAACCTCTGGGCTGTGGTCTCCGGGAGCCTTGACGGTGTCTGCAACCTCTGGGCTGTGGTCTCCCTGAGTCCTGACAGCGTCTGCAACCTCTGGGCTGTGGTCTCCCCAGTCCTGACGGTGTCTGCATCCTCTGGGCTGTGGTCTCCCTGAGTCCTGACGGCGTCTGCAACCTCTGGGCTGTGGTCTCCGGGAGCCCTGACGGCGTCTGCAACCTCTGGGCTGTGGTCTCTGGGAGCCCTGACGGCATCTGCAACCTCTGGGCTGTGGTCTCCGGGAGCCCTGACGGCATCTGCAACCTCTGGGCTGTGGTCTCCCTGAGCCCTGACGGCATCTGCAACCTCTGGGCTGTGGTCTCCCCGAGCCCTGGCAACCCCTATCCCTCTCCGCTCTCCTTCGGGCACACAGCCCGGCATCTCTGCTCTCCAAGGGCTCGTAGTGCCTGAAGCCGACACTCTCTCTCCTGCACACACACAGGTCGATGCCTTCTTGTTCCCAGTGCTTCAGAACAGAGCTGGCAGCGGCTGCGGCAGGAGCAGCTCCCACTGACAGGCTCCTGCAGCCTCCTTCCCACCTGCACAGGAAAAAAGCCCGCATCCATTCTGTAAGGAGCTAGAGCAGCTCTTTGGCATCCTGTACAGGCCTTGGAATGCTTCAGGGAAAAAAGATGATTCCGCATCAGAATGGCTGTGGTCAGACTTGCTGGCAGAAGCCTCCCCCAGGCTCTTGACATGTGGCTTCTGGTCCCTTTTCCTGCCACACCCCTGGGTTCCGCGCAGACCTGGGTCCTTGAAGAACTGAAATTCTAGCTCAACCTCGGCAACTCTGTAGCCATTCGCTGGAAATTTCCTAAGAGAATAAATTGCAACACAGTGCGGCGGATGGGCTGTGTGGGTTTATTTTTACCACGCGCTTAGTGCTATAAAGACGTCACCTTAAATCAGGAGCGTGCAGGCGTCAGTAGGAAATATGTGCATGTGGCAGGTGACGCAGGCCACACCCTCGCCCTCGAACCCCTGGCTTCCTGCACCTGCAGCGGGTGGAGCCCAGCTTGACTCCAGCCCTGACGATGGACCTGGGTGCAGAGGGGACCCCTGGTGACCTGCAAGGTCCGACCTTCTGTCCCTTCATGCAGGGAACATGTGGGGCTGTCACTCCTGAGGGAAGCTCTGAGTCTGTTTCTCTGGGGATTTGCCAGGGGAGAAGGTCATCCACCTGTCGGCTGGTAAGACAGGGTTCCCTGCATGTGATGACAACTTCCTTTCAAAGCCAGCAGCTTGCACAGCGTTTGCTCAGGTTCTCTGAACGGATTACCATTCATTCACCCTGCACCCCTGCTCCACTGAATGCTGGGGGCAGCAGAGGCAGCTCTGGCCATTGGGGCAGCCGCACGACTGTGGGGGGCAGTCAGGACCGGGAAGCCTTGGGCAGTGTAGGGTGCCGTGACCAGGGAGGGTCTGCTTCTTGCAACAGCCCCTTTCCCTTTGCACAGAAAATAATCTGAGGACAAGAACAGTGGCGTGGCTGGAATGGCTGGGGCTGCTCAGGGCCTCTGTTGTTCAGCTGGGCTTGCACCTGAGGCTGACCCCTGGTCTCTGAGACAAGCTGATGGCCATCAGATGCCACAACCCCTGTCTGGACAGGCCCCGAGGACGTGTGTCACCGCAAGGAGCTCAAAGAGGATGGTGGAGTGTCTGGGTCAGAGGTCAGGACCCACCTTGCATCAGCGGGCTTGGGTTTAGTCATTTACCTAGGAGGTTGAGGGTCATCCTGGCTTAAGTCCAGGGCATAGCACAGCAAAATCTACCCTTTGGGAGTTCATAAAGAACATGCATAGTTCTGGCCTCGTGGCGGTCGCCAGCTCTCCCAGGGCCCTGCTCTTCTCTGAGTGACCACTGCCCTCTGGTCTGGTGGACGCCTGGGCATCTGTTTCTATGAAACAACCTGTTTGTTTCTGTGTTTCAAATATTTGTGTTTATTATGGAAGAGACATTATTTTTTCATGGAATTCTGAAGACTGTCATTTTTGAAGGATAAGCAGGTTTTGGACAATTTGCAATTCTTACAACTGTCTGTAAATTTACATTACTGTTATAAATGAGAAGACCCTTCTGATATTCAGACACCTTGTTAAATACTGGCTCGTCATTGATGCGTGCAGCCCAGTGTGGGCTTTGTGGGGGTTTGAAGTGTGTGTGGTTTGTAGCACACGGACATTCCCCTCCCAACGCAGAGGCATCTTTGGCACGAGCTTCAACCGTAAATCCAGAAACAAGCTTGCTGGCTTTGGACTTCATGGGCCGGTTAAGTAACCCCCCATAGCTGAGGACTGATTTAAATGTACTTTTAATTTTGTCCAACAATAAAAAAAAAAATAAAGCAAGCAATAGCAGACATCGTCACTTATGGGAAGTGCCTGGGGACGACAGAGTCGGCCTGAAGGATGCTGCTCTCAGAGGCAGGCAATGGCCCCTCCGGGCACAGACGCTTTGGACTCTGCCTGTCTCCCTGAGCAGCAGCAGCCGTGACCATGTCCCTGTGTGTGGCCCTTGGTCCTGTGCATGTTCAGACCACAGCCCACAGCTGTCCTCGCGACCCCAGGCAGACACTGACCACAGGACACTGAGAGGTTCAATGCAAGGCAGGCACCACAGCACGAGGGGCTGAGTGCAAGAGCTCAGGCCGTCCTCTCCGAGAGCCCCACGCTGGAAGGGTGGGTGCGGGATCTGTAGGGTGGGGTGTGGGATCTGTAGGGTGGGTGTGGAATTGTAGGGTGGGTGTGGGATCTGTAGGGTGGGTGTGGGATTGTAGGGTGGGTGTGGGATTGTAGGGTGGGTGTGGGATTGTAGGGTGGGTGTGGGATCTGTAGGGTGGGTGTGGGATCTGTAGGGTGGGTGTGGGATCTGTAGGGTGGGTGTGGGATTGTAGGGGGAGTGTGGGATCTGTGGGGTGGGTGTGGGATTGTAGGGTGGGTGTGGGATTATAGGGTGGGTGTGGGATCTGTAGGGTGGGTGTGGGATCTGTAGGGTGGGTGTGGGATTGTAGGGGGGGTGTGGGATCTGTAGGGTGGGGTGTGGGATCTGTAGGGTGGGTGTGGGATCTGTAGGGTGGGTGTGGGATCTGTAGGGTGGGTGTGGGATTGTAGGGTGGGTGTGGGATCTGTAGGGTGGGTGTGGGATTGTAGGGTGGGTGTGGGATTATAGGGTGGGTGTGGGATCTGTAGGGTGGGTGTGGGATCTGTAGGGTGGGTGTGGGATTGTAGGGGGGGTGTGGGATCTTTGGGGGGGTGTGGGATCTGTAGGGTGGGTGTGGGATTGTAGGGTGGGTGTGGGATTGTAGGGTGGGTGTGGGATCTGTAGGGTGGGTGTGGGATTGTAGGGTGGGTGTGGGATTGTAGGGTGGGTGTGGGATTGTAGGGTGGGGTGTGGGATTGTAGGGTGGGTGTGGGATTGTAGGGTGGGTGTGGGATTGTAGGGTGGGGTGTGGGATCTGTAGGGTGGGGTGTGGGATCTGTAGGGTGGGTGTGGGATTGTAGGGTGGGTGTGGGATTGTAGGGTGGGTGTGGGATCTGTAGGGTGGGGTGTGGGATCTGTAGGGTGGGTGTGGGATCTGTAGGGTGGGTGTGGGATCTGTAGGGTGGAGTGCGGGATCTGTAGGGTGGAGTGCGGGATCTGTAGGGTGGGTGTGGGATCTGTAGGGTGGGGTGTGGGATTGTAGGGTGGGTGTGGGATTGTAGGGTGGGTGTGGGATCTGTAGGGTGGGGTGCGGGATCTGTAGGGTGGGGTGTGGGATCTGTAGGGTGGCAGGTCCCCCACCAGGTTCTTAAGGCCCTGTGTTCGCAGCCTGGGCCCTGAAAGCCAGGTGGTGAGCCAAGGCCCTGGTGCCCAGGCCAGGAGTTGGTGTCTCTGAGAACCCAAAGATCGAGGAGAGGCTCTGAGAACCCACCGAGGAAACAGCCCCATCACACACACACAGGAGGGAAAGCCAGAAGATCAGCTTAAAATAGTTTGGAGACGGGAGGCGGCGCAGGTCTCAGGGCTGTCCTGCCACTGTGCAGCAGTGTCCTTGGTAAATCCTGATCAACACATTGACTCGTCAGATAACGTGGACCCTTCTGAGTCATTTCTTGGTCTTTTGACCCTTCCCAGTTTGGGAGGGGGTACGTCACAGTCCCAAGTTTTTCTCGTAAAGGGGTGTCCCCCATAGAATGCACCCTTGAGATCACATGGTCCTGGAGCCCCTTTCCAGGGGGTTCCAGAACAATGCTATGAAACATTTGTTCATTTGATTCGTATTTGTTGAATTCCTGCTACCTACCAGTCACTCTCAAGCATAACACGGAGCTGGTTCTGCAGACTACACCCGGGCATCTGGGAACTGGCACCCAGGAGAGCACCCGACACCGCTGAGCTGGGCCAGCAGGTCGTTCTCTCTGATTCCCCATCAGCCTTGCAAGACCTGTCTTAGGAAGAGGAGTCCAAGTGAGAAAGGGGCAGATCCTGGAGCCGGGAAGGGATTTGGGGGAGGGCCCCTGACGCCCTGTGGGCTGACCGTTCCCCGGTGCCACTCAGGAGTCTCCTGTGGAGCCCTCACATTTGCAGTGGGATGTGCTGTAGGTTTACGGGATCCCAGCGCCAGACAGAGTGAGAGGAACGGGACATTCATGCTGGTGTCCGTGGGTCCCGCCTGTTGCCTCTCAGACCTCTCACCGAGCTTCTTGACCTGGGCTTCGCAGACCCTGGGCTCTTGGACCTGTGTTCAAAGGAGCATGGACTCTGGCTGGGGTTGCTAAAGCTTCAGACAACTGTCCAGCGCTGAGTGGAGCGGAGGCAAGCCCAGGGGTGCTGCCCAGAGGCAGCTTCCTGAGAAAATGAAGTTGCTGTTGTTTAAAGCCACCGAGGTTTTGCAGCAACGGGGGAGTGAGCATTGGTCTCCACCACGCCCGGGGCCGGGTCAGGCCAGGACGAAGGGTGATGTTTCCTGTGCGGATCCCGTAGGTGGAGTTCACCGTCACTGGGAGGCCTCACAATCATTGCTTTATTCACCTCGACAGGTCCCATGAGGCGAGCCCCCGCTCCTCCCTTATTTAAGCATTTTAAATAACGAGTTTACAAATTTCCAACTTCAAAATGTGTTAAAAAATCTTCACTCCTCCCACCTCCTCTCCCGTCTGCTCAGTCCTGCCTCTTGGAAGAGGCAGCCATTGTCACTGGTGTCTTAGGTGACTTCCCAGAGGTCCTTTAGCACATACAGTTCAATACAAATACATATTCCCTGACTTTTACACCAACGGCAGGATGTTACATACACTTTTCTCCTTGTTACTTAAAAATTTTTAAATTTTCTTTCATTTTTATAATAGACTTTATTTTTAGGGCAGTGTTAGGTCTACAGAAAATTGAGGGGATCGTAGAGAGAGTTCCCACATACCCACGTCCAGTTTCTTGCACTGTTAACAGTTTATGTTAGAATGATACTTTGTTACAATCAATGAACCAGTGTTGTCACATGATTGTTAGCTAAAGTCTGAAGTTTATTCACGTCTTTAGTTTCCCCTAAATGTCCTTTCTCTGTCCCAGGACCCATCCAGGGTCCCACATGACACTTTGTCCCGCGTCTCCGTAGGCCTCTCGGGGCTGGGCAGTTCTCAGACTGGCTTTTGGTGACTGGGACAGTTTTGAGGAGGCCTGTTGGGTGTTTGGTAGCTGCGTCTCTGTTAGAATTGTTCTGATGTGTTTCTCGTGGTAAGACTGGGGTTTGGGGCCTGGGGACAATGACCCCAGAGGTGAAGTGCCCTGCTCACCCCATCCTGTGAGGGACTCACACACCCAGCACGGATGCTTGCTGTGGACACTGGCCTCGGCCACCCAGCTGAGGGGAGTCGGTCAGGTCTCCCCACGGTGATGTGATCCTTTTCCTTCCCTCTCCATACTCTCGGGAAGGAAGTCAGTCTACACAGCCCACACTTGAGGGTTGCGTATTTATGTTTAATTTAATATTATTTATTGGAGATCTTTTCATATGACTACAAAAAGAACTTCGTGTTCTGTTTCACGCCTCATAGTATTCTATTGTACGCATCTGCCGAGACATTTGACCGGTCCTCTCCTTGATGTGCATTTAGGATGTAAGTATCATTGAAGACACATACTTTTTTTTTTTTTGAGATGCAGTCTCACTCTGTAGCCCAGGCTGGAGTGCGGTGGCGCGATCTCGGCTCACTGCAAGCTCCGCCTCCCGGGTTCACGCCATTCTCCTGCCTCAGCCTCCCGAGTAGCTGGGACTACAGGCTCACGCCACCACGCCCGGCTATTTTTTTTGTATTTTTAGTAGAGATGGGTTTTCACCGTGTTAGCCAGGATGGTCTCCATCTCCTGACCTCGTGATCCACCCGCCTCGGCCTCCCAAAGTGCTGGGATTACAGGCGTGAGCCACCGCGCCCGGCCGAAGACACATACTTTTAAAAATATTATTTTTACATTGATTTGGTAAATTCTTAGAATTGCTGGGTCAGAGCCAGACGCGCTTGCAATTTTGTTAAGTGCAGTGAACTCTCCTCCATCGAAGTTTGTGCTGTTCCGTGCTCCCGCCAGCAGCAGGCGAGGCTGGCCTCCGGCAGGTTGTCGAAAGCTTGGCTTTCACCGAGCAGATGTATGAAAACTGGTATCTCAGTGTAGTTTTAGTCTTTAATTTACCTTTTGATGAATCACTCTGAGCATCTCTTATATGATGAAGGGTCATTTTTATTCATTTTTTTGTGAACAATTTGTTTGTTGATCTGTTAGATTTCTTTGGCTATAAAGATTAGCTCTCCGTCTGAGGTAGGAATTGCTTGTATGTTTTCCCCGTGTCATTTGTCTTTCAACTTTGTTTTGTTGTAGGTGTTTTGGCCATGAAAAAAATATTTCGGGCAAAAACTTTTCATCTGTTCTCCAGCTTCTGGGCTTTGTGGCGGGGTATGGAAGGGCTTCCCCAGGCTGGGTCATGGGGGCCCCATGCTCTCTGTGCTCTTGTGGTTTTGCTCCCTAGCATTCACACTGTGGCCCTGTAGGGTCCTGCTGGTGGCTGGGGTGAGGTGTGCATGTAACTGAAGGTGGTCACCTAGTGTTTGAATATCGTTACTAATAATTCGTCTTTTCACCACTGACTTGAGGTGCCGCCTTTGTCACATGCTAGCAGCTCATACACGGATTTAGGTTTTTTTCTGAACTCTATTCTGTCCGTGAGTCTGGCTAGGCAGGTGCCAGGAAGTAGTTAATACCTTGTGCCTGTTTTGCAGACAGGAACACTGAGATAGAGGCAATATCTTGCCCGCGGCCTGACAGACAGTAAGTAGGGTGGCACCAAGCTTCAGACCCCAGGGTCCCATCAGGCGCCCCACTCCTCCTGCCCCTGTGTTATCATCAGGGCTCCTTCTTCCTCTCATTGGTCATCGTCAGGAATGACTAGAAGGCACAGCATCCCTGTTGCTTATCTGTGAGCTCAAACCAAAAAGGCACCAAGTTATCTGGGGCTCACAGAGGCGCCGCATGGTACCAGTAGGCCTTGATACTTATCCCTGGAAGGAACCGTTTTCTGTTAAGGAACTTCACTAGATGGTTCTCTCACTCGAGGTGGAAGTTCGAGGCGGTCATTGTCTTCTGCTTCTCCCACACCCCCGCCAGCTGTCTGGACTTGCACATCTGGGGTGCTGTTTGTCCCTCCTTGCTGGGATTTCCCCACCCATCACCCACATGTGGACGCACAGCACCTGCTCCATGCCAGTCCTCTCGGAGACCCTCCTGACCCTGCAGGCAGAGTCGATGTCGCTGTCTCTTGAGGACCACTGGCCTCCTCATGCAGCTTCCGTGGGACTGAGATAAGGTGTCTGCATGTCTTCATCTGCCAGCTGAGCCCAGAACACCTTGAAGCCAGGGCTGGGCTCTGTTTCTCGGGGTCTCCAGGGGTCAGAACCGCAGGTGACTGACTACACGGGGAACTGACTGAGGGGCCTCATGGCTTTTAGACTGTTTTATGAATTGCAGACATTTATTTAGCTCAGGACAAGCTGCATGCATGTCCAGTTTTATTTAACTTCTAAATACCTGGTCTTCTGTCTGAGTCTGACTTCTGTGTTGCTGCCAATCAAAGGTGGCTGTGGGTTGTCTGGCACTGGAGGTGTCTCTGTGGGACCTTCCTGACTCCTCACTGCCCCAATTCTCCCCACATCCCTATGTGCCCAACACCCTACACCCACTGAGGCCCAACCTGGGCAGAATTACCAAGCAGGTGAGATTGGTTGGCCATTCTCCCAAAGCACCTTTTGCTGAGTCTCTTTCCTCACCCCTGTTCTCCCAGCTCATGGTCAGCTGACCCCTTGGGTATGTTAGTGACTCATAGCTTGGGTGTTTTTCCTTCCTGGGGGTATTTGTTTTCTGTCAGGAGACCCTAGAACATCAGGAAGTACCCCCGCCCCACCAGGTTCCCCAGCCAGCCACTGATATCGGTGAAGCCGAGGCCAGCACTTACGAGAGCCTCCAGGATCTGCAGAGGAACACACACCTCCAACTGTCAACTGTCAACTGTGCTGAAGCCACACGTGGGGGACAGGCAACGTGCCCATGCCCTCTGCTGGACTTGGCACTGTGTGCGTGACACCCAGCTCCCCTCGGTGCAGCCTGGCAAATCCATCTACCCTGGTGTCTGAAGTTTGCCCATGGTCTTTGGCCAGGGGCTGTGGAAGGGCCTCCGGGGACTGAAGGTCGGGACCCATTTGGGGTCATTGAGAGTAAATCGACTTGTTAATGGGGCATCCTCCTCAACCCACTCCTCAGGGCCCCACATCCACGCTCACCAACTGCACATGCAGACCCAGGAGGTGCATGAGCTGAAGTCTGTGGGCCGCAGAGCCGTGGGCTCGGAAGAAGCACAGCCCACCATGCCGTGGATCTCCACGCGTGGCTCCTCTCCACGCCTGTGGGTTGCTCCAAAGCTGCAGCGTCACGCGCAGATGCCAGGTAGCCGTGATGGAGGCTCGGGCACAAGCTGTATTGCAACGGCTTTGTGAGTAAGACAGCGGTTTGTCTTAGCTGTATCTCGTTAGGGAGTTCCATCCCAGTCATATTAAAAGCACCATGCCGCATGGCACAGAGTGACAACAAATTCCTTCAAGATAAAGGAACCCTAAAACTGTAAGAACTCGAAGGTCTCGTCTGCGATGCAGTTTGTCTGGGGCAGGGGAGGGATCTGCCCGGTGTGGCTCTGGCCGCAGGCAGGAAGCTCCCTGGAGCCCATTCACTCCCAGCCCCCATCCTGCACCCCCACGTCCCACTCTGTGACTTGCCTGATTAAAGCGTCAGGGAATTAAAGGGGGAATTGGAGGGCAGCTGCAGCTACACATGAAATGAACAAGGATGCGCTTTTCCTGGTGAACGATGCTTGCTGGGTGCCCTGTCCCCTAAGGACATCTGAGTCAGAGCCAGACAAATGGGAGAAATTTGTCTGGGGATTAGGAGACCTTTGATGCCTCATCCCTGTGGAACTACATGGAGCTCATTCTGCAAATCACCTTCTCCTGCCTCCTCTGAGGTGACTTAAGACTCCGTTCTCTTCTGACCTGTGCTTCATGGGCCTTCCGTGGAGCCCCAGGCCGCTGGCTGCCTGGGGTGACCATGTCCACTTGTGTCAACCAACACGTGAGCCTGAGAGGCTGGAGCTCAGAATACACCCTGGGGCACGGGGACAAGTCCTGGGCAGTGGCGGGAGCTCTGTTTGTCATTTTCCTTCACTTCACTCAGACACACTTCAGCAAGTGTGTCTGAGCCAACATAGAAAGATGGAGCAGCAATTCAGAAGCATCTCTCCTGAAGACAGAAGGCCAGTGCCCAGCTTCCTGTCACTCACTCGAGAGCATTGGGCACCTGCTGGGGGCTGCATGAGCTGCCAGTGAGCAGACAGGCAACGTCCCAGTGCTCCAGGGATGCGTGTTCTATCTGGGCAGAGACAACAGCAACCAGCAGACAAGAAACGCCGCAGAGTGCTGTGTGCTGGGTGCCGGGCGACGCTCAGGGCGGCCGTGCGGGCATCCGTGTCAGAGTGCTGTGTGCCGGGCGAAGCTCAGGGCGGCCCTGCGGGCATCCGTGTCAGAGTGCTGTGTGCCGGGCGATGCTCAGGGCGGCCGTGCGGGCATCCATGTCAGAGTGCTGTGTGCCGGGCGGAGCTCAGGGCGGCCCTGCGGGCATCCATGTCAGAGTGCTGTGTGCCGGGCGATGCTCAGGGCGGCCGTGCGGGCATCCATGTCAGAGTGCTGTGTGCCGGGCGACAGTCAGGGCAGCCGTGCGGGCATCCGTGTCAGAGTGCTGTGTGCCGGGCGACGCTCAGGGCGGCCGTGCGGGCATCCATGTCAGAGTGCTGTGTGCCGGGCGGAGCTCAGGGCGGCCCTGCGGGCATCTGTGTCAGAGTGCTGTGTGCCGGACGAAGCTCAGGGCGGCCCTGCGGGCATCCGTGTCAGAGTGCTGTGTGCCGGGCGACGCTCAGGGCGGCTGTGCGGGCATCTGTGTCAGAGTGCTGTGTGCCGGGCGACGCTCAGGGCGGCCGTCTGGGCATCCGTGTTAGCGTTCTGTGTGCCAGGCGATGCTCAGGGCGGCCGTGCGGGCATCCATGTCAGAGTGCTGTGTGCCGGGCGACGCTCAGGGCAACCGTGCAGGCATCCGTGTCAGAGTGCTGTGTGCCGGGCGACAGTCAGGGCAGCCGTGCGGGCATCCGTGTCAGAGTGCTGTGTGCCGGGCGACGCTCAGGGCAACCGTGCGGGCATCCGTGTCAGAGTGCTGTGTGCCGGGCGACGCTCAGGGCGGCCCTGCGGGCATCCGTGTCAGAGTGCTGTGTGCCGGACGAAGCTCAGGGCGGCCCTGCGGGCATCCGTGTCAGAGTGCTGTGTGCCGGGCGATGCTCAGGGCGGCTGTGCGGGCATCCGTGTCAGAGTGCTGTGTGCCGGACGAAGCTCAGGGCGGCCCTGCGGGCATCCATGTCAGAGTGCTGTGTGCCGGGCGATGCTCAGGGCGGCTGTGCGGGCATCCGTGTCAGAGTGCTGTGTGCCGGGCGACGCTCAGGGCAACCGTGCGGGCATCCGTGTCAGAGTGCTGTGTGCCGGGCGGAGCTCAGGGCGGCCGTGCGGGCATCCATGTCAGAGTGCTGTGTGCCGGGCGACGCTCAGGGCGGCCGTGCAGGCATCCATGTCAGAGTGCTGTGTGCCGGGCGACAGTCAGGGCAGCCGTGCGGGCATCCGTGTCAGAGTGCTGTGTGCCGGGCGATGCTCAGGGCGGCTGTGCGGGCATCTGTGTCAGAGTGCTGTGTGCCGGGCGACGCTCAGGGCGGCCGTCTGGGCATCCGTGTCAGAGTGCTGTGTGCCGGGCGACTCTCAGGGCGGCCGTGTGGGCATCCGTGTCAGCGTTCTGTGTGCCGGGCGACTCTCAGGGCAGCCGTGCGGGCATCCGTGTCAGAGTGCTGTGTGCCGGGCGACAGTCAGGGCAGCCGTGCGGGCATCCGTGTCAGAGTGCTGTGTGCCGGGCGACTCTCAGGGCGGCCGTGTGGGCATCCGTGTCAGAGTGCTGTGTGCCGGGCAACGCTCAGGGCGGCCGTGTGGGCATCCGTGTCAGAGTGCTGTGTGCCGGGCGACGCTCAGGGCGGCTGTGTGAGCATCCGTGTCAGGTGGGCTGCTGGATGCTGGGGGGTCACTGACTCACCCCTAGGGCTGAGGGCGGGTGGGTTACTGGCCTCCACATGGGTGTGACAACCTGGCAGTGAGGGATGGTCATGCAGACATGTGTTGGGCATGGAGCATCCGTGGTGGTGGAAGCCCTCCCATGCCGGGCCGCGGGGCAGGGCTCTGGGAGAGGACGCAGGATCCCTCCCTGCATGTCTGTCTGCAGATCAGCTTCACCTGCCCCCACCCTGGCAGTTCAATCTACTGTCATTAGACCCACCTGCCCTCACCCTGGCCTGCACCCTTCAATCTACTGTTATTAGACCCACGGGGTTTCTTGGTGATTAAACGTGTGTGTTGCTCTCTGCACATCCAAGAACTGCAGAAAGAGGTTTTTCTCATTCCTGTGATAGATGAAAGTGCAATTTTTAAAAACAGTGAAACTATTCCTGCACAAGAGAACTGTGACTGGATTCTGCCAGGGAGGAGCTGTGACCAGCAGGGCAGAGACATGGGAGGGAAGAGCCGGCGTCACCTCCAGGCCTCCTGCGCCCGAGAGGAGGGAAGAGCCGGTGTCACCTCCAGGCCTCCTGCACCCGAGGGGAGGAAGAGCCGGCGTCACTGGCCACAGGTGAGGAGGAGACTGGGTTGCCCAAGTAGGGTATGCAGGTCCATTCAAACGCACCCAGGGATGACTCATCCCCGCCAGCTGCTCTGGCAAGGCCGGGGGTCTCAGAGCTGGGGGCTGCAGCAAGCACACCAGCTCTCTGCTCCCGAGAGATCGTCCACAGGCCCCATCAAGATCCCTGGTCACCATAAAATTTAACTTCATAACTTATTGATAATAAATTATAAACAAAAGCCTCCTAATTTACACGCTTGTTGACTACTGAGTGCTTGGTGCAGTGAGTACGGCTGCTGCTGTACCAAAAACCACACAGATGAGAATCACTGTATAGGTGAGAACTGTGACTGCCCCTGATTTCTAGAGGCAGCAACTGAAGCTCAGGAGTGCTTGCGACTCAGCTGTCTCAGGCTGCAGAGCCCTCCTCGTAACCTTGCAGAGTACAATTTCGTCTTAGTGACTCCCCTGTATTCCAGCTCTTCCCCGGTGGAACAGGTCACCCCATCAACACACGCTTCATTAATACCCGGGGGAAGGTCCTGAGGGACTGAATGGATTATGAAGGAAAAACAAGCAGGAAAGCGAAAGGGGAAGAGACCAGGCAGAGGACGCCCCAGCACTAAAGTGAAAGATCCCTGATGGGCAGGGGCGGCGCGACCGGGCTCCCAAGACCGGGTCCTGATCTGGGTTTTCGTGTAGCATGGTCACGTGTGGAGACCGGGGCTCCGGGGCTGTGGGCTGGGCTGACGCTGCCATGCGTGGGGGAAAGGGTGGCAAATTGTGGCCTTGGCCTCTTCTGAACTTTCCAGTTCAGTTACTTTTCAAAAAGGTGCTTAGCCTTCCTTTTCAGGCCAACTTTAGTGTGACCTCTTCATCTTGGGACGCGGTGGGTGGCTTGTTACGGGGGCAGGTGTCACAAGGAGGGAGATGGTCTGTTTCTTTCAGTCAGGGGGTGGAGGAAAAGGACTTCAACCTCTTCTCAGAACAAATGTTCTCTTAACGTTGCGCCTCATGCCAGTTCACTGTTTTAATAATAAAAAAAAGCTAAAACCATTGAAAGAAAAATAAGTAAACACATAAAGAACCGAAGGCCCTGAGCGCTGAAGGATGTGTAAGGACCCCCGGGGCTCTTCGAGGGGTTTCTGGGGATTGTGGGTGTCCTGGGAACTAAGATGCCTACTCTCGGAGTGGGGGAAGGAAGGATACAGCTTTCTGTCCCAGATTCCAAAGACTGAGGAACAACTGGGTTGTGCCCACTCAGAGAGATGCAGGGAGACCATGCCCGTCCATCCACCCACTCATGCTTGTCGGGCACCAGCCACATGCACGGTGCTGGGGCAGCCGGATGTGTCCGTTGGAGCCTGACCCCAGCGTCTCCTGTTAGTGCATCTCATTGTAGAGACGCTTCCTGGACAGGCATTGGCAAGGATGAGCACCTCAGTGCAGCCAGGACAAGTCCTTATCACAGACATTTGCCTCTGATCATCCTGTAAAAAGACTGTGTTCATTTTTGGGGGTTCCTAGTCCTGGGATTTTGCTTCCACCTTCAGGAAATGCACCTGGTGACTCTGCTGAGATCTTGCTAAGAACTCCTATCGCCATGATGAACACCTTGTCGTGGGGACGACTCTGTGAAAGGTTCCAGCTCTGTCTCCTGCCACAGCCTCTGAACTGGGATGTGAACCTTTCGGTGTCTGGCCATTATCACCCTGATGGTGAACTGGGCAGCCTTAAATTTCAATATTGAAGGGTCAATCACTGGAAACTATATAGACAAGTAGACGTCAGCATAGGTAACAATTGTGAACCTTTCGGTGTCTGGCCATTATCACCCTGATGGTGAACTGGGCAGCCTTAAATTTCAATATTGAAGGGTCAATCGCTGGAAACTATATAGACAAGTAGACGTCAGCATAGGTAACAATAGTTCCACCCTTGTCTCAGGTCATTCTTGCCTTGCTTTAAAGAAATACTTGAGGCTGGGTAATTTATAAAGAAAAGAGGTTTAATTGGCTCACGGTTCTGCAGGCTTTATAGGCACCATGGTGCCAGCAACTGTACAGCTTCCGGGGAGGCCTCCAGAAGCTTACAGTCTGGGCAGAAGGTGAAGGAGGAGAAAGAGAGAGCAGGAGGTGCTAGCCACATAAAACAGCCAGGTCTCTGAGAACTCAGCCTCTTGAGGACAGCACAAGGTGCTGCTAAACCATTCATGAGAAATCCACCCCCATGATCCAGTCGCCTCCACCAGACCCTGCCTTCAATACTGGGGATTACAATTCAACATGAGATTTGGGCAGGGACAAAAACGCCAATTATATCACCCCTTGAGGCCCTTGTTTTCTGTTTAATTATCTTGAAGATTCAGGGACTCTTAAGGCACGACAGGATCTTAGAAACCCAACCTTTTCCTTTTGAACACGAGGAAACTGAAGTCTGGAATAAAGTGGCTCGTCTGAGTTTCAGCAGCAGGTTCTAACAAGCTCTATTCTGTTCTTCCAGGATGGCACTCTCTACCTCACCTCATGACCGTGGTCCTTGAATCCCAAGTTTTCAGAAGACTCAGATAGAGAGGGGCTGCTCAAAGCTCTGGGCTGGAACCCAGAATGGCAGCCGTGGACTGGGTGGGAAATTTACAGCAGTTTGCAGATGTAGACCCCACCCTGCTCCTCAGGACTTCAACACACCCACCCAGCCTATGCAGGCTTATGAGCTGTGAAGAAATTACATCAAGATTAGATGTCTTCTCAGCTGATTTTTTTAATTTTTAATTTTGTTTTAATTACATTAAAATTTTTAATTTTTTTATTTTATAGAGACAGGGTCTCACTATATGGCCCAGGGTGGTCTTGAATTCCTGGGCTCAAACAGTCTTCCCACTTTGGCCTCCCAAAGTGCTGAGGTTACAGGTATGAGCCACGATGCCTGGCCTCAGCTGAATTTTAAGTCCATTGTTATTCAAGTTTTTCTAACTTAATTTTATGAGCTTATTAATTAGTTCAATATGAAAGTCTGCTGCAGACAATCTAGAGCATTTCTATACCCCACTTTATTTTATGAATACAGATGCATTGCTTCCAAATGAGATATTCGAAAATAAAATTCAGTCCTGTATCAAAAATAGAATACACTGTATTCATGTTTGTTGTGTGACAAATTGCCCTAAACCTTAGTGGGTTAAACAGTAGATGGTTATCTCCTGGTATCTGTGGGTCAGGAATCGTGGCATGAGCTCTGCAGTGTAGGGTCTCCCTCAAGGCTGTCAGGAATCAGCTGAGACTGCAGTCATCTCAAGGCTCAACTGGGGCAGAAGTTGCTTACGAGCTCGCTCAGTGGCTTGGCAGGGGTTGTTGGGGTTCCCCAAGGCTGTTCTCCTGAGGGCCGCGGGTCCCGACTGGCTGTTTGCTGGAGGCTTCTCCTGAGGGCCGCGGGTCCTCACTGGCTGTTCTCCTGAGGGCCGCGGGTCCTGGCTGGCTGTTCTCCTGAGGGCCGCGGGTCCTGGCTGGCTGTTCTCCTGAGGGCCGCGGGTCCTGGCTGGCTGTTCTCCTGAGGGCCGCGGGTCCTGGCTGGCTGTTCTCCTGAGGGCCGCGGGTCCTGGCTGGCTGTTCTCCTGAGGGCCGCGGGTCCTGGCTGGCTGCCTGAGGGCCGTGGGTCCTGGCTGGCTGTTTGCTGGAGGCTTCGCCTGAGGGCCGCGGGTCCTGGCTGGCTGTTCGCCTGAGGGCCGCGGGTCCTGACTGGCTGTTTGCTGGAGGCTTCTCCTGAGGGCCGCGGGTCCTCACTGGCTGTTCTCCTGAGGGCCACGGGTCCTGGCTGGCTGTTCTCCTGAGGGCCGTGGGTCCTGGCTGGCTGTTTGCTGGAGGCTTCTCCTGAGGGCCGCGGGTCCTCACTGGCTGTTCTCCTGAGGGCCACGGGTCCTGGCTGGCTGTTCTCCTGAGGGCCGCGGGTCCTGGCTGGCTGTTCTCCTGAGGGCCGCGGGTCCTGGCTGGCTGTTCTCCTGAGGGCCGTGGGTCCTGGCTGGCTGTTTGCTGGAGGCTTCGCCTGAGGGCCGCGGGCCCTCGCTGGCTGTTTGCTGGAGGCTCTCCTGAGGGTGGCTCACAGCACAGCAGCAGGCTTCATCAACATGAAAGGGCGGAAGAGGCTGAGACTGAGAGTGTGTACCTGTAAGCAGGAGAGAGTCTAGGATGGAAGTCTCAGTCTTTTATAACCTAATCTCAGAAGTGACATTCATCACTTTTGTTATAATCTATTTGTTAGAAGCAAGTCACTAGGCTCAGCCCACGCACAAGGGGAGAGAACAAAAGGGAGTGAATACCAGGAGGTGGGATCATTAGGAGCCACTTCAGAAGCTGCCGATCACGTGTACTCTGATCAAGTTAGGTTTATTCTGGGAATGGGTTAGGGTGGTTCAATAATGGATTATCAACAAAAGCGTCACATCAATAATTTGTAAAGACTTAAATCATCATATCAATATATGTTGAAAAGACACATAATACAACTTAACAGCCATTCCTAATTAGAAAAAAAAAAAACTCTAAGTAAAATGGGAACAGAACGAGACTACTTAAATGTAACAAAAACCAACCAACAAACCCCCTTTCAGTTAAATTTAGGAGCTAGACAGGGATGCCTTAATTACTATTATTTAACATTGTGTTGGAGATTATAGAAAATGCAACATAAGAAAACAAAACGAAATGTGTGGTATACAATTGGAAAAGGAAACATAAAACTACCTCTTTTGTGCTGATGACATGAATGTATATCTGGAAAACCCAAGAGATACTAATAACAAACTGCTAAAATTAATGAAGAATTTGGTTAGGTGGCTGGATACAAAATAGCTGTATAAAAACCAATAGCTTAAAAACAAAACAGTCCAACAAACAAAGAAATAGCTTTCTTTCAACAAAGATGCCAAGAACACCCAATGGGGAAAGGCAGTCTGTTCAATAAATGGTGTTGAGAAAACTGTATCCATGTATAGAAGAATGAGAGTGAACCCGTATCTCACATCTTTACCAGAATCAACACAAAATGGATTAAAGATGTAACTGGAAGACCTGAAACTATCAAACTACTAGAAGAAAATATAGGGAAAAGGCTCCATGACATTATAAGGGCAGTGATTTATTGGATATGACCCCAAAGGCTCAGGCAATGAAAGCAAAAACAGACAAATGGAATTACATGAAACTAAAAAGCATCTTCACCACAAAGAAAACAATTAATAGAGTGAAGCTGCAACCCACAGACTGAGAAAAAATATTTGCAAATTGTATATTGCATAAGGGGCTACTTTTCAAAATATATAAAGAACTCAAATTACTTAATAACAAAAATAAAAACCCTATTAAAAGCAAGGGACTTCAATAGACATTTCTCAAAAGAAGACATACAAATGGCCAACAGATACATGAAAAAATGCTCAACATTTCTAATCATTAGAGAAATGCAAGTTAAAACCACAGTGAGATATCTCCTCATACCTGTTAGATTGGCTATGATAAACAAGATAAAAGATAAGTGTTGGCTAAGATGTGAAGAAAAGGGAACCCTGGTACACTGTTGGTGGTATTGTAAATTAGTATAGCCATTTTGGAAAACAGTATGGAGGTTAGTAAAAAAAACTAAAACTAGACTTATTTGATTCAGCAACTCTGCTACTAGGTATACACCCAAAGGAATTGAAATCATTTGTGGAAGAGGCATCTGCGTTCCCATGTTCATTGCCATGTTATTCACAATAGCCAAGATATGGAAACAACCGAAGTGTCCATCAACAGGTGAACGGATTTTTAAAATGTGGTATACATACACAATGGAATACTATTTAGCCTTAAAAAACAGGAAATTCTGTCACTTGTAATAACATGAATACATCTGGAGGACATTAAGTTAAGTGAAATAAGCCAGGTATGGAGAGAGAAAATACTGTATGATCTTACTTATATGTGGAATTTTTAAAAAGTCAAACTCATAGAAGTAGAGAGTAGACTGGTGGTTACCAGAGGCTGGGTGGGGCTGGGTATGAGGAGAATGTGGATGAGGAAGGGGAGATACTTGTCAATGGTGCAAAGTTGCAGTTAGCAGGAGTGTGTTCTGGTGTTCTGTTGTACGGCATGGTGGCCAGAGTTGACAATCATGTATTATACATTTGCAAATAGTAAAAGGGAGGATTTTAAATGTTCTCAACACAAAGAAATGATAAATATTTGAGGTGATGACTATACTATTTAGTGTGATTTGATCATTCCACAATGTATACATGTACCAAAACATTACATTGACCCCATAAATATACACTATTATTATTTGTCAATTAAAAAATAAAATCACACCTAGCTTCATCATAGTCAAACTGCCGAAAACAAAATGTAAAGAGAAAATTTTGAAAGCAGCCAGGGGACAATGATAGAACAACCACTAACTTCTCCTCAGAGACAATGGCGGCCAGAAAACAGTGGAATGCTATGTTTAAAGTGCTGGGAGAACAAAACAAAAAACTGTCAACCCGGTGTTCTGTATCAGGAGAAAATATTATTCAAGAATGAAAACAAAATAAAAACTGCAAGCAATATAAATCCTACCAATGGGAGAATGGTTGAAAAATAATAGTACATCCACGACATAGATATGTACTATTAAGCTCCCATTAAAAAGCATGAGTTAGGACTATGTCAGTTGACACAGAAGGGGTAAAAAATAGTTTTACAAAAATAGGATGACAAAATCTAATATATTTGTCTATCTTTGTGTGTGTGTGTGTGTGTTTATATTTGAGTGGCACGCCAAGGGGGAAGGTGGGTCAGTCTCTCCCAGGTGTTGACCATAATTGGATAAATTGTAAAGTGTTTAAAAACGATAGTAAAAATGGCTAGAAGTTGGCCTGCTTTTTGTCATCAGCATACATTCTAAACATGTCAGTGATATGATACTGTCCCCTACAGTGATGGAAGGCCTCTCTGTTCGCTCTCTAGGCAAGCCACTATGTATTTGTACGTGGTTTATATAAACATGAAGACGAGCATGGAAGGGCATACAATTGGTTGTTAGCCCAGGTGACCTGGAAGGGGTTGGGGTTGGCATGGTGGAGGGAAAGTTGGATCGGGAAGCAAAAATGGAAGAGGAAGCAAAATGGACGTCACTAAAATCCTGAACAGTATCATGATATAATGATGTATACACAGTTCCCGAAGCTTACATACATGTGCATATAAAGGGAAATTTTAAAAAGAAAATTAAAAGAAAAAGCCCCAGATTCCCTTCTCAGAAAACCACAATTTCCCATTGAATTCTGATGGGTTAGATACCCCTAAAGGTCACGTGTGGCTCCACCCCGGAGTTGAGCATATCTGCTGTAGACCTTGGATTTGTCTGGTCTACAATGTGATGTCTTCTAATCTGAGGAACAGTTTTCCCATCTGCATAAGGGCACCTGCCTCACAGAGCAGCTTTGGGTCTCGTAAACGGACGGCACATGTGAGTTTACTGCCAGGCAGTCCTCAGTCTGTGCACGTCACAGTCCACTTTGGAACTCCTAAGAATGCTGTCTCCTCCCACCCTAGACGTCCTCACACAGAATCTGTGAGGGGCTGGCCTAGGCAGAATTATCTTTTAAAAACTTTGCATATGAGGTGCTTGATAAAAGCTAGTTGGATTTGAATTTGGCCACAGCTCAGATAATCTGGGGAACTGGGGTGTCTGCTAAGGATATGTGACCATCTGCTGGTGTAAACCTTTCAGATGATGGGGAAGCCGGGCATCACGGAGAGCTGAGAAGACTCGCTTGTTCACACTTACTCGAAAGCAGGTGCGCCTCCCAATTTCTCTGTGTTTTTAGAAATCTCTCATTCTTTCTTCAGTCTCCCTTTCCCCACCCTGCCTATTTTCTCTCTTTCTCTCTCCACTTAATCTTTTCTTTTTTCCTTTTCCTTATTCCTCATCTTAACAGGTCCTAAGTGTGTGTTGTATGTATTTAAAAAGTTTTCGTCTCTGTTTTTAATTAAAAGAAGAAGAGCTTACTCCTGTTTCCAAACCCCTGCACGTGATACTCAAGGAGCTGGTGATGGTGCTTGCTGGGCTTATGAAGTGCAGCTGTGTCCTCTCTTGCTCTGTAACACCCTCTCTGCCAGAAACAGCTCAGCAGGAAGGCAGCGGGGCACCTTGGAAACGTGCCCCTGGGCCCCACCTTACAGCCTCTGCTCCGCTCCCTTCGCGGCAGAGTGGTTCAGGAACAGTCTGCAGCCTCCTGCCAGGAGGCCAGGAAAAGCCACTCCTGGCCCTGGGCAGCTATGAGGCTCTTGGTGGATCTCAGAACTCTGTGGGGGCCAGAGGGCTGAGTGAGTCAGGCTGTGGAGGGCAGGCACCATCCACACTCCCAGACACTTTGGGTTATAGTCTCTCTCTTCCTTGATTAGAAGAGGCCTGGGAACTTCAGCTGGCGACTCTGGTGTTTCTGACTTTGGCTATCAGCAAACACTGCTGGAGGCTCTGCCCCGTCCACACCCAGCTTCTGTGAGCACGGAGGAGGCATAATCTGCAAAGTCTGACACAGGCCATGCCTAACCATCCTTGACTGGCTACCTCCAGTGACATAAAACTGAGAAGCAAAGACACCCAGGAGGCAAGGCTGCAGTCATTTAGGAGAGTGGACGGATGCCAGGGCTGTGCTGCCTGCAGCCTTTGTGGGGCTCAGTGACCAGAGGAGCAGCCCATGCCAAGCCTAGTCCCCAGGGATGCTGCCTGCGGTGCTCACGCATCTTATACAGGGACACAGAGGAACTCTGGGCTCCACCCTGCAGCCTCTGCTCCAGCACGCGGTGGTCCCAGGAGATGTAGAACCAGCCCTTCCTCTGCAGTTGCACTGGGTAAGTGATGCTGTGGGCTGTTATCCATCAGAAATACACCGCCCACTGCTCCACCAGTCAAAGTTACGCCTACTCTGGAATTTGCTCTCTTAGCCATTTGCTTGGTTTAGGAAAAGCCTAAGCTTCTGCCCCCCCGATTCACCACAGAAGCCCTCTATTATCACTCCTGTTACGTGTAAAGGCTGAGTTATTGCTAACTCTCAACAGGTCCTAGAATCCTTTATGTGCATTCGGGGGACTGGGGGAGGCCCTGGACACTGTGCCAGGTGCTGTGTCTCAAGGTTCACTGGACCTGACAGGGAGATTGGGAACAAAGGCCCTGAGAGATGTGGGGAGCAGCCTTTGTGTCTGAGCTGTCACTCAGCTCTTTGCTTTATGCCACTGGCGTACCTGCTGGAGGAACTCCATGTGGAGGAAGGCTGGGCCCTGTGGGGGGCATTCGAGGGGGACACTCTGGCCAGCCTCAGGCTGGGTCCACCTAGGGGGAGGAGGGGACAAGCCACCTCATGGATGTTGTACACAGTGGCCCAAAAGTGACCTTAAAAATGGATTTAAGGAATAAATCCAAATCCAAATATAAGACATAAGCCATCTGAAGAAACAGCCTTGGTGATTGTCTTTGAACCTCCAGACTGTGGGGTGACTTGCCTCATACAGGCTGATATGGAAGTGCTTATCTCAGTAACTTCACTGTGCTCTGTCTGAAGAGAAGATGTTTCGCGGCTGAGTGGCCCGCATTGCATCTTATAAAAGCGGAGCCCAGGGAGACCGAATCTGGCTCGTGTCTCTAGCATTGCTTGAGAGTGGGGACATTTTGGCCCCAGACACAGGATTCTGACCTGTGTGGGAGGCACGTCCCTGTGTTGGAGGTGGGTGCCCCCAGCTTCTACATATTAATGATGTCCCTGTTAGGGTTACTTTGCCCATCCCCTTGGCACTGATTCTGTTAATTTTCTGATTGTAACTTAAGGATTGTGGTTTTGGTGTGGCATCTAAGATTTCTTGTCTAATATAAGGTCACAAAGATTTTTTTTCCTGTATTTTCTTTTAAAAGTTGTGGAGATTTAGCTATTATGTTTCAGTCTGTATTAGTCCATTTTCACACTGCTGATATAGACATACCTGAGACTGGGTAATTTATAAAGAGAAAGAAGTTTAATGGACTCAGTTCTATTTGGCTGGGGCAGCCTCACAATCATGGTGGAAGGCAAAAGGCACGTCTTACATGGCAGCAGACAAGAGAGAGCTCGTTCAGGGAACTCCCATGTATCAGATCTTGTGAGACTTATTCACCGTCGTAAGAACAGCATGGGAAAGACTCACCCTCATGATTCAGTCACCTTCCACCAGGTCCCTCCCATGACAGGTTGGAACTATGGGAGCTACAATTTGAGATTTGGGTGGGGACATGCCCAAACCACATCAAGGTCTATGATACCTTTTGAGTTATTTTGTGTGTATGGTGTGAGGAAAGGTTCTATATCCACCTTTCTTGCATCTGGACATCCAGTTTTCCCAGCATTATTTGTTAAAAGACTATCATTTTCCCCATTGAACTGCCTTGGTACCTTTGTTGAAAATCAGTTTACTGTAAATGTAAGGATTTATTTCTGGGCTCTCAGTTCTGTTCCATTAATCTATAAGTCCATTCTTAATACCGTTTCCACACTGTCTTGATTACTGTGGCTTTGTAGTAAGGGTTGAAATTAGGAAATGTAAGTCTTACAACTTTGTTTTTCTATTCCAAATTGTTTTGGTATTCTGGATCCTTTGCAGTTTCATATAAATTTTAGGACTGTCTTGTTATTTTCTGCAAAAAGAGCCTGCTGGGATTTCAGCATGGATCATATTGAGTTTGCAGACTGATGTGGGGAGAATAGCTATTTAACAACATTGAATCCATGGACATTGGCTGTCTCTCCATTTATTCAGATCTTCTTTAAAGTCTCTCAGCAAGTTTTGTACTTGCTTTGTTAAATTTAACTTACCTTTTTTCACATTTTGATGCTACTATGAATAGAATTATTTTCTTAATTTTCCTACTCATGGCTATTATAGAGCTACAATTGATGGCATGTAGAAATATAGTTGATTTTTGAAATTGTGTATCCTGTCATCTGGCTAAACTTGTTTCTTAGTTTCAGTTGTACTTTTGGTGGATTTCTTAGAATTTTGTGCAAAAAGATAACTGCAAAGAGCTTTACTTCTCTTTTTAGCAATACAGATGCCTTCATTTTATTGGTTACCTTGCTGCATTGGCTAGAACCTCAAGTACAATGTTGAATAGAGGTGATGAGGGTGGGCATACTGTCCTCATTCTTGATCTTAGAGGAAAACATTTTAATCAATCTTTCACCATTAGGTATTATGTTAGCTATAGGTTTTACCCAGATGCCCTTTGTCAAATTGAGGAATTTTCTTTTCCATTTGTAGTTTGTGGAGATATTTTATTATGAAAGAGTGTTGGATATTTTCAAATGCTTTTTCTGAGTCTATTGAGATAATCATGTGGTTTTTGTTCTTTATTCTGTGGTTACTGTATTCCATTAGTTAAGTATTGGATGTTAAACCAATGTTTGGATATAAATCCTCCTTTGTTAATATTTTGTTAAGGATTTTTGTATCTATATTCATGACAGATATGGGGCTGTGCTTTGCTTTTCTTGTGATGTCTTTGGCTAGGATGTAAGGACAATACTGATCTCATCAGGTGAATTGACAGGTATTTCTTTCCTCCTCTGTTTTCTTGAACAGTTTGTAAAGGATTGGTATTATTTCTTTTGTTAATATTTGCTAGAATTCACCAATGAAGCCATCTGGCTTTTCCTTATAGGATGATTTTAATTATTCAATGTCTTTACTATTTATAAGTCTATTCACATACTCTGTCTTCTTGAGTCAGATTTGGTAATTTGTGTATTTCTTCGAATTTGTCCATCTCATGTAAGATGTCTAATTTACTGGCATAAAGTTGTTAATATTATTGTTTTATAACCCTTTTAACATGTGCAGGATCCATAGTGATTCTCCCTTCTTGGTTTTAGTCTCTCCTGGTTTTAGTCACTTGTGCCCCATCTTTTTACCCCACTGTAAAAGGACGGGAGGGGTAAACAGATTTTTATTTCACATCCCAGCCCTCGCCCTGGGCCCTGTTGTTTGACCCCCAGCATCCCCTGTGGTTGCTCATCTGACTCAGGCTTCCCAGTCACACGTGATGACATGGTGACCCCCGCAGCACAGTGGCTAGCACTAGAAAGGGGCTCAGTAAATGTTAGCTTCTTGTCTGTGTTCGCCTTCCTTGACTCTGGGTCTACCAGGAGTTTGGCAAACTCCCCCCGTGGTCTGGACAGGAAAGCCCCAAGCATCTCTCTGGACTGGGGTGTGGTCGTGTCACAGAGGCATCCTCCCCACCACATACAGACAAATGCTCAGCAGTGCTGACGTCCAGATGCTTCAACACAGGGCTGCCCTCCACCCTGCTTCCTGCACAGAATGAGGATTGGAGGGGGCTGCGGCTGGAGTGTGGGTGACGGGATGGTCACTGTTGGGGGCACGAGCCGGGAGTTGGTGCCAGGTGAGGGTGCAGGAGGGGCCTGGGTCAGGAGCCCGGGTACGGGCCAGGGCCAGTTGCCACTCAGGTGTTCTGTGCCTTTGTCCTGTGCTGGCCCTGAGGCACGCTGGACGTGGGGCCCAGTGCACCCTTGCTGACTCCAGCTCCTAGCATGGGAGTAAGAGGGCCAGTCAGACCTGGGAAAGGGCCACCGACTGGTCCTCATAGCTTTGCTTTTCCACTTTCCTGTCCCTTAAAGAGCCACACAGAAAATGGTATCTGAATCAAGTACAATCTCATTACAGATGCGTCTGGCCTGGAAACACACCCGCCAACTGTGCTGATTGGCTGGAACCATGCAGGCTTTGGCTTTTGTGCTCCTTGTTAACATTTTTGTTCCTATCTACACTAATTAGTCATAAACAGAGGGACAAAAACTCCCCAAATATGGGAGATGCTAATGGCCTGTTAGGAGGCCTCGCCTGCAGAGCTCATCTCATTCCTTTTGCAAGAGCAGAAGTTGTGCTTTAGTTTAGAAACAAGGAATGTGGATCTTGTCTGGGCATTGAGTTTTCGGGTACTCCAAGCTTTCAGAGCTGCCGCAGAAGATTTTCGGGGGTCTTGCTGGCTCTGTGACAAGCCGCCGGAGTCTTGCTCAGTGCTGAAGGCACACCCCAACATGGCCATCACCGGCAGGCCTGTCCAGCCCTGTCCTCATAGCTTGGTGCTGTCCTTGCCATAGTGAGTGAGTTCTCATGGATCTGGTTGTGTAGAAGTGTGGCACCTCCCTCCCCCTTGCTCCCACTCCTGACATGTGGGATGCCTGCTCCCCCCTCACCTCCTGCCATGACTGCAAATTCCTGAGGCCTCCCCAGAAGCAGATGCAGGTGCCATGCTTCCTGTACAGCCTGCAGAACCATGAGCCAGTTAAACCTTTTCTCTTATAAATTACACAGCCTCAGGTATGTATGCAAGAGCAGCCTGACGCAGCCAGCCAGTGCATCCTCCACCAGGGCCACCTCCACTCCTCACCGCAGCTGCTCCTCATGGTATCTCCAGCATGAGTCAGGGCTCCCCACAGGCCCATGTGCGATGATGGAGCTGTGAGGAGCCTCGTGGTTTTCCAGGCTCACTCTCCACGGGCCTCCTGGTCTCATGTCCTGCTCAGTCCTCCCTCCCCTGGTGGAGCAGCGTCTCATGCTGGGACTTTCTGGCTCCATTTCAGGGTCTCTCCTTCCCTGCTGGTGGCCCAGCTCCAGAGACTCAGAGGAACTCAGATGGGGTGCACGGGCGTCCTCTCAGGCCTGTGCCCAGGGAAGTCTAGGTGTGAGCCGAACAGAGCCCCTGGGACCAAATGGCCCGCGACCGCCCCCTTCAAGGACCGTGGTGGAACCCGCTTGGTGTAGCTCTGTGCCCCTCAACAGACTGCCACGAAATCCTAAGACCTTGAGAGCTTGGGTTCTGCCTCGTTTCTCCTGGAGCTGCCTTACAGAACCATTCCCTTTGTTCTGGAATCTACTTTACTCCCTTCCTTCTCTCCTGTGAACTCCATTGCTGTGGTTTAGGACAATCCCTCCTGTAGACATCAAGGAGGATGATAAGAGTATGACACATTGTCCTCAGACAGAGTGGGTGCAGCCCAGCTCCCAACCCCAGGCTCCCAGGAGCAGGGGCCCCCTTCAACCTGAAGGCAACAGAAGGGAGTGTTTCTCTCAGAACAGGGAAGGTGGGGATGGCTGTGGCTGCACAGGGACCTGGTGCCATGGAGGTTCAGAAGATGACTTTGAAGACAGTCACTGCAGCCCTCACCTTGTGGCCTGGGAGACCATGTCTGGGATAGGCCACGGTCCGCAGGGATGGCCTCATCCACACAGCAGCATCCGTGCAAGTCTAGGCCCTTTCCACACTGCATTGCTTCTCTCGTATTCATTTTTCTATAAATAATATGTAATCATGTTAAGAAAATGAAAACAGCATGAAGTGCATGAAATGTGCAGTGCAAGCTCGTATTCCCTCCCGCCATCCTCAGTCTGGCTTTCTTTTTCCGTTTTTCTTTTTGTTTTGTTTTGTTTTTTAAACAGGATCGCAGCCTGCCACCCAGGTTGGAGTGCAGTGGTGCAATCAGCTCACTGTAGCCTCGACCTCCTGGGCTCAAGTGATCCTCCCATCTCAGCTTCCCGGGTAGGTAGGACTACAGGTGCACTCCCTCATGTCTGGTTAAATTTGTTTATGTTTTATTTTTACTTTTTGCAGAGACAAGGTCTTGCTGTGTTGCTCGGGCTGTGCCTGAAGCGATCCTCCTGCCTCCGCCTCCCAAAGGGCTGGGATTACAGGCGTGAGCCCCCACACCCAGCTGGACGTCAACCCAGCTTTTTGCACCCCCATATGCATGTTTCTCTGTTGGAGCTTTTGTTTCTTATGGCAGAATCATCAAGTCTCCTCATAATCCCTGCTTTCTGTGGCATGTCTTCCTACCAAACTCCTTCTTTCCCTCCCCGTGGACCTTCGTGTGATGCTCTGTGTTGTTTCTTCAATGAGGCCTGTTCCTCGGCGCAGCCCCCTTCAAAGCTGTCGGTCTGCCGGCCTCTGCGGTCGAGGCTGAGCCGCTGTTCTCGCCAGGACAGACGTGGTGGGTGTGCAGCTCTGGGCGTCCGAGCTCCCTTCTGGGCCGGCAGTGAAGGAAGTCGCCACAGCACACTGTTGAACTTCACACACCAAGACAGCAGCCCCGAGGCGCTCACCCAGCCCACAGGGCGAGGAGGGAAAATACAACGGGAACAATCATGTGCAGTGTTTCTGGAATCTGAAAGCCGTTGGCTTAAGACACAGGCTTCCGTGTGCAAAAGTTGAGCTGTGTATTTTCATGAGACCAAAGACACATCGACGTCGTCAGGCATCGGGGGCTCCCTGCAGCTCAGTGTGAGGTTCACTGACCTGGGCCCGTTCTGTGATGATTCCTTGTTTACATTCTGACCCGGACCTCCAACATTCCTCAAATTGTTGGGAACCAGGGAGTGAGATCGGCACGAAGTTCAAACCCTCCCCTGCTGTCTGCACAGCCACCAGCCTTGTTGCTGGAACATGCTGGGGATTTTATGCAGGAACTGCGGGTGGCAGGGAGACAGTGGGCAGAAGGAGCTGGTGACCTTGGCGAAAACGGAACCTCACCCTCCCATGGGCAGCTGGGGCTCTGGGCCCTGCAGGGTCAAGGGGAGGATGCGTCTGCCGCCTTCCCCCACAGGCGGCCAAGGACCGTCCGCACACCCTCTACCCCAGAGAAAACTCGGGTGTAGGAAGCAGGCGACTGTGAGGTCAGCTGCGTCTCTCTCTGGCCTGGGTCCCAGGGCCGGAGCCTCTGTCCTGGTCCTGGGTGTCCCCCCGCTGCCCGCTTTGGGCTGCCCTGGACTCAGGCAGCCCTGCTGGTAAAGTGCCCGAGGAGGTGAATGTGCTGCTGGGCCGGAGTTCTGGTCGGGAAATCTCAGTGGGAACAGAGGCTGAGGACGCACAAAGGGTCCCAGCAGCCAGAAAGGACGGGGAGCAAGGGGAGCCCGGGACGGGCCGTGGGAGAAGACACCTGGAGCGAACTCACGGGGTGACAGCTGACGCTGCCTGGGGGCAGGAGAGGGAGATGGTCCAGGGCCCCAGGCCTCAGGCTCGAACCAGGCAGGAGACCCACGCGTGCAAGACAGGCAGATGGGGCCCGGTAGAGAGGGGTCGCGAACTCACGGGGTGACAGCGGACGCTGTCTGGGGGCAGGAGAGGGAGATGGTCCAGGGCCTCAGGCTTGAACCAGGCAGGAGACCCACGCGTGCAACGCAGGCCGATGGGGCCCGGTAGAGAGGGGTCGCGAACTCACGGAGTGACAGCGGACGCTGCCTGGGGGCAGGAGAGGGAGATGGTCCAGGGCCCCAGGCCTCAGGCTCGAACCAGGCAGGAGACCCACGCGTGCAAGGCAGGCCGATGGGGCCCGGTAGAGAGGGGTCGCTCGGGGCACAGAGCTCGGAGCAGGGCGGCCGTGGGGCTCCGCTCACAGGGAGAGGCACAGGGTCGAGTGAGGAACCCTTCCTGCCGCAGCCAGGCTGGCCGTGGAGATGGGCCGAGAATGGGGAGGGCGTCCCCAGCAGGGCATTCGGGGTCAGGAGGCGCCCGTGGGCGGCAACACCGTGGGCTGGAGGCACCGCGTCTGGCAAAGGGAAGGCCCCAGTCCGGCGGCTTCACGGCCCACCGCGGTGTCCGGGTTGAGGCGGGGGCCGCGCGCATCCTCGGGGGGGGACAGTCGGCCCCGGGCGAGGGGCTACCCCTCAGGCCCCCGTCCCCGAAAGGCCACGGGTGTGGGGACTCGAGCCTGGCCTCGGATCTCAGGCTTGGACGGAACCTAGTGAGGACCTGACACCGTGGGGGCGGCCTGTGGTCCCCGTCCGTGGCCAGGCATCCCCCGTTCACCCATCAGCTGCCTGAGCTCCGCCACCTCATGGCCGGGTGCTTTGGCACCCGGGATACTTCACTGAAAAGAGACTTTTTCCACTGTGGCCGAGAACGAGGGATTTAAAAAACGTCAAAGCCAAACCCCGTCTATGAGCAGCTGTCGTGTCCGCTCCGCTGGCCTCGTGCCCGGCCACGCCACCATCACTTTCCAAAAGTGTCGCTGCGGAAGGCTCACTGGGAGGACAAATGTCGGCCCCACCCGCAGTTTCTCTGTTCCCTATTTTCTCACCACTTCTTGTTAATTTGGGGCTGCTGCTTCCTTTGGCCCCTGCTCAGGCTCTGGATTCTGGGCTTAGTCCTGTGGGCAGTTCTGTGAGCTTATGATTAAATACCTGATATTATTAAATACTCAGGAGCATGTGTGAGAGCCGCTGGCCCTGGTGCCCGGGTTACAGCTGTGTGGGGACGTCGGTGCTGCCTGCCTCCTGCCCCGCTGGGGGGAGGGAGCCCCCCCAACCTATGCTGCAGGTGTGACACCATGGAGGCCAGCCCCTGGCGCCGGTGACGTCTCGGGGTGACAGGCAGGACCCCCTTGTCCTGCCTCCTTCCCGGATGTCTGATTTGGCCGGGATTTGAGGCTGTGGGGGCCACCGCCTCCTGAGGCACGAGGCATTCCTGTGGCAAGGGGCGGCAGGGAGACCTTGCTGTCACCACCGTGGCTGGTCTGTCAGTCGGGGAACTTGGGAACCCCAGAATCCTGCAGGCCGAAGGGACCTTGCCCTCGAGAGGGGGTGAGGAAACGAGGCTGAGACGACCTTTGCCAGTGCCCTTGGGGGGCGAAGCGGGATCTGGCCTTGGCGTCTGCCCTTTTCAAGGGTCCTCCCTGCACGCCTGGCGCCTGTCCCTCCCCACAGTGGGGAGCAGGGGAGCCCCACTCTACGTCCCCCGTTTACTGTCCCCACGCCCCCTTCCCAGTCGAGCTGTCCATCTCCTTCATAAGAAAAGACTCTTCCACCCAAGAAACTCCCCAGCAGCTGCCTCAGGCCTTCCCGTCACGGCCCTCACTGCTCCCCAAGTAAAGTGGGGGCTGTGGGTCAGGAAGGGCCCCAGCTTGGGTCCGAGTGGGGTCCCCGTGGGTCCCCTGCACCCCTCATGATATGTGTGGGGTGGGAAGGGGCCTTCCAGGGCCTCTGGGACCCAATCCAGGAACTTGTTCTCAGAGAGTCACCAGCCAAGTCTCCTGGGCTTTTCTCCGCTGCTCCCACAGAGCCCTGGGCCTGGGAGGGTGGGACCACCCAGGAAGGGGACAATTCTGGGCCCCGGGATGCCCCCCCGCTCTGGGGACAAGGGGATGGTTTGTTAAAATCCCACTCCCGCTCTGTTGTGAAAGATGATTCTTGTCTTCCTGCACCACTCGGCCTGTCCTGAGGCTGCCGCCATTTCCCAGTCAAGCCCTGACCTCCTTCACAAGAAAAACCTCTCCCAGCCGAGAAACTCTCAGCCCCCAGGAGCTCACCAAGTTCCCAGGCACCTGTTCCAGGGCCCCAGCTCAGTACTTCCATGGGAGAGCAGGTTAGAAAGCCTGGAACATCCCAGCTCCACCTCCCACATACCCTCAGACCCTGGGTGAGAGTGGGGTCCCTGGCTCTACTCCCTACACACCCTCAGACCTCAGGTGACAGTGGGGTTCCCAGCTCTACTCCTGACAGACCCCCAGACCCCCAGTGACAGTGGGGTCCCCAGCTCCACCTCCCCATAGACCCTCAGACCTCATATGACAGGGGGTCCCCAGCTCCACCTCCCCATAGACCCTCAGACCTCATATGACAGGGGGGTCCCCAGCTCCACCTCCCACAGATCCTCAGACCCTGGGTGACAGTGGGGTCCCCAGCTCCACCTCCCCATAGACCCTGAGACCCCGGGTGACAGTGGGGTTGTTGCTGGTCCCACTTCCCACAGACCCTGGACCTCCTCAGGAAGGCATCCGGTGGTTGTATTGACCCCGGGTGTGAGAGCCCACGTGAAACGGAAGTTGAGCCAACCTTCCATTGTTCCCTCACCTGGCCCTGCCCCAGCTCAGACCTGAGCCAGCGGGTAGGTGCCCACCGCCAGTCCCAGGCAGAGGTTCCTCCGGTGCTCACAGCAGCCCTTGGCCCCATCCCGGCTCTTTCTGTTTGGGAATCTGGTGAGTATAAAGTGGCCTTGCTTGCGGTTTACTTTGAGTTTCCCTGACTGTAAGTAGAACTTGCCATCCTCACGCATCCCCGAGAGTGCCTGCCTGTGCCCTCCGGCGGGGCCACCTCTCGCTTTCTGAGTCACGGCTCCCTGTGGCTCCCGACATGAACCTCATCAGCTGTGTGTGCTGCAGATGTTTCCTCCCAGTTCATGCCCTGCCTTTGCCCTTGTCTTTTGTCTTCTGATGGTAGATTTGGACGTAGGACGTGCGTCAGCCTTGTCTTTCACAATTTTCCTCGTTTGTATCTGAACAAACCCTTCCTGGCCTCGAGTGTGGGAGATATTCTCCTGTAGCTTTTACTTCCATCATCTTGCCCCCATCACAAGTCCTCATCCATCTGGAAGCAATTTCCTTGTGTTTGGTTGAAGATAGGGATCCAGTTTCGCTTTCCTAATGTGCGTGGCCAGTCCCTGGCACCGTGCGCAGGCCTGCACCTCACCTCTGTCGGGCCCAGGCCTTCTCTGTGTGCCGGGCTGTTTCTGGGCTCTGTGGTCGGCTCCACTGGCCGCATGCCTGTCCCTGCACCACTGCCCCCACATGCCAACCCTGTGGCTTGGTTGTTGGTCTCAGCGTGCTCCTGGGAAACTCTCCTGCCTTGCCCTTCAGTGACTCACTCGCTCCAGTAATCAAACACCTACTGTGTGTCAAGAAAAGTGTCACTGACAAAAGCATCTGCCTTCTTGAAGCCCATTCAAATGCAGTTATGTCTATGTTGGAGAGAGACAGACTTTGTGATGGAAGGTTCTCTGGACAATGGTAATCGAGCATGACAGTGAGTGGCAGCTGCTGTTTAGATGGAATTGTCAGGGAGGCTCAATGAGAAGTAGGCATCTGAGCAAAACTCAAAGGAAAGGAGAGAGTGAGCCATGGACGTCCTGACAATTCCACTTATGATACTTTTCCTCCTCCCCGAGGTCAGGATGGTCCCTACCTCTGCCGGTCTTGCATGTTGTTTTAACGTATGTGAGTGGAACCCCTTGTTCTCATGCCGCAGCCCATTGTGTGAATAGGCTACACTATACCTGTCTGTTCGATTGTTGATGGCTATTTGGGTTGCTTAGTTTATGGCCATTTTGAATATGCTGCCATGGCTGGGTGAACATACGCGTTTCCGCTGGGTGTGTATCTAGGGCTGTGATTGCTGAGTCAGAGTGTGTGTCTGTTCAACTTTTGTCGGTAACGCCAAACCGTCTTTCTGAGTGGTTATGGATTCATGCTCCACCAGAGGAGAGAGTTCCCACTGCTCCTCATCCTTGGCAACTCTTGATTTTACCAGTAGTTTAAATTTTAGCCACGTTGGTGGGTGTGGAGTGGTGTCTCATTGAGGCTAATTTTCACCTCCCTGATAACTAAAGATACTGGTCCCTATTTCATGTGTTTATTGGTCATTCATACGTCTTTTGTAAACTTTCTATATATTTTGCTCATTTGTTGAATTGAGTTGCTTATAAAAATTATGTATTTGTTTATTTTTTGAGATGGAGTGTCCCTCTGTCGCCCAGGCTGGAGTGCAATGGTGCGATCTCGGCTCGCTGCAACCTCCGCCTCTCGGGTTCAGGCGATTCTCGTGCCTCAGCCTCCCGAGTAGCTGGGATTACAGGCAATAAAAATTATTTTGAATTGCAAGTGTTCTGTATATATTCTGGGTACAGGTCCTTTGTCCGATACATGTATTGCAAATATTCTCTTCAGTCTGTCTTTTTAAAAATTTTCTTAATAGTTCTTTTTGAAAAACAAAGGCTTTTAATTTTGAAGTATAATTTATTAACATTTTCTTTTCACTTGATGATTTGTGTCCTGCTAAAAAACCTTTGCGAACACCAAAGTCACAAAGATTTTCTCCTATGTTGTCTTTTAGTAGTTTCATGGTTTTAACTTTAACTTTTAGCTCCATGATCCCTTTTGACTGAATTTTTACGTATGGTATGAGGTAAGACTTGAGACTGTCCTTTCCACATTGAATTACCTTGGCACTGTATAAAATTGGCTGTATGTATATATACGTATATATACATATATACGTATATATACATATATATACACATATACACATATATACATATATACATATATATACACATATATATATTGGGCTGTGCACAGTGGCTCACGCCTATAATCCCAGCACTTTGGGAGCCTGAGGTGGGCAGATCACCTGAGGTCAGGAGTTCGAGACCAGCCTGACCAACATGGTGTGGTGGTGGACACCTGTAGTCCCAGCTACTTGGGAGGCTGGGGTAGGAGAATATATATATATATAGGTCTGTTTCTGGACTCTCTGTGCTGTTCTGTGATCTACATGCTTATCCTAACACTAGTACTCTACTATTTGCTGCTTTATTGTATGTATTGAAATTAAGTAGTGTAAATCCTCCAAATTTGTTCTTTTTCAAAATTGTTTTGGCTATCCCAGGTCCTTTGCCTTCCCATATAAATTTTAGAATCTGTTTTAGAATCAATTTTTACAAAAACAAATGCCTGCTAGGATTTTGATAGGGATTGAGTCTAATCTATAGATGAATTTGAAAGAAAAGACATCTTAACAATATTGAGTCTTCTAAGCCATAAACGTGGTATGTCTTTCCATTAATTTAGTTCTTCTTAATTTCTCTCAGCAATGTTTTATAGTTTTTGGTATACAGGCCCCACACACATTTTGTTAAATTTATCCCTAAGTATATCATGCTTCTGGATGCTTTTGTAAATATTTGTTTTTGTTTGTTACTTATTTTCATTTTCCAATTGTGCTGATATACAGAAATACAGCTAATTTTTGTATAGTTTTATATTCCGTGACCTTGTTAAGTTCACTTACTCGTTTTAGTAGTTTTCTTAGATACATATTTTAGGATTGTGTATGAATAGAATCATGTTACCTATGAATAAAGACAGTTAACTTCTTTTCCAATCTGTATGACTTTCATTTCATTTCTTGGTTTATGGCAGTGTCTAGACCAATCTCTGCCTTTTTTTTTTTTTTTTTTGTTTTGAGACAGAGTTTCGCTCTTGTCACCCAGGCTGGAGTGCAGTGGTGCAATCTTGGCTCACTGCAACCTCCGCCTCCCGAGTTCAAACGATTCTCCTACCCTCAGCCTCCCAAGTAGCTGGGACTATAGGTGTCCACCACCACGCCCAGCTAATTTTTTTGTATTTTTAGTAGAGACAGGGTCATGTTGGTCAGGCTGATCTTGAACTCCTGACCTCAGGTGATCTGCCCGCCTCAGCCTCCCAAAGTGCTGGGATTACAGGCATGAGCCACCGTGCACGGCCCAATCTCTCTGCGTTTTTAATGGGAGTATTTGGTCCATTTTCATTTAATATAATTACTGAAAGTTGGGACTGAGTCTTCCATCTTATTGTTTCATTTATTGTTTATTCCTCCTTTTTTCTTTTCCGCTTTTTTTTTCTTTGGGTATACTGAGTATTTTTCCGTCTTATCTCTTCTGTTGGCTCATCAGCTATGCCTCTTTCTTTAATGCTTTTAGTGCTTTCTTTAGGGTTTAAGGCACGCCTCTGTAATTTAATAACATTTCCTTTAAATGCTACTATACTACTTGACTTATAATGTAAGACTCTTCAATAGTATGCTTCCATTTTCTCCCTGAAATCCTTTTTGCTATTATTGTCATACATCTACTTCTATATGTGTTATAATTCTCCATAATAAATTGTGATTATTTTTGCTTTAAAGAGACACATTTATGACAAAGACATTAAAAATGAGAAAAGGGGCTTTTGTATTTGCCACATATTTACTGGTGCCAGTGTTCCTCGTTACTCGGAACAGACCCAGTTCCTCTCTGGAATCATTTTCCTTCAGCATAAAGAACACTTCCATCTCTTGTCTTGTACATCTGCTGGTGACAAGTGCTCTCAATTTTTGTTTGTCTGAAAATGCTATAATTTTATCACCTCATTTTTGAAAGATTTTTGCTGAGTCTTGGATTCTATGTTGACTGTTGTATTTTTTCCCCAGAACCTTCTATTACAGGTGTTCTGCCATTGGGTTCTGCCTTTCCTTGTTTCTGGTAATAACTCAGCAGTATTTCTTATCGTCGCGTCTTGCCAAGGTCTGTTTGCTGTGATTGGTCAGACCGCATCTCCTAGCCTGTGGGGCTCTGGGCGTCGTTCAGATGACAGCTCCCACTAAGTGCTCTTTGCCTGCCCGCACGGGGTCTCCCATATGTGCGGCTTAATGTTCAGCCAAAGGCACAAGGGGACCACCAGGACCACCATGTAGATTTCTGGGGTTCTTTCTCCACATGGTTTTTCCATCTCTGGTACTTCGCCCATACTTTTCAGGAGCCTTGGCCTCTCTGAGCTCTGGCACCTGTCTTCCGAGCTCAGTTAAACTGTTTTGCTCTCCTTGAGCTCCTCTCCCTGTGCTGGGGCCAGAAAGCGCCTCCAGGAAGAACGCCGCGGTGTCGTAGGGTTCACCTTGCTTGCTGTCTTTGTCTCGGAGATCACAGCTCTGTCTGTTGTCTATTGTCTTAGAACAAATGTTTCCTATTTTTTTCCTCCAGTTTATAATGTTTGTGGTAGGAGGGATAGTCTCATACCAGATACTCTGTTGTAGCCAAAAGTGGGAGTCTTTTCTTCATGTTTCTTCATTTCACGTTACTATATTCCTTCTCACTGAGTGTCTGTTCTGCATTCTGGGTAACTTATTTAGATCTATCTTCAAGTTCAATAATTCTCTTTTTATTTTTGCCCACTCTGCTGCTTAGTTCATCTAAGAGTTTAGCATTTTAATTATTATACACACCATCTCTAATCTTGTCTGAACCACTGACACTCAATTACTTGATAACTCTTCAGTCATTTGCGTCTCCTAGCTAACTGCTTCCCTAAATCCTTGCACCCTCTACCCAAAAGCTACCCCTCACTCTGAGCAAGGACCTCACCATCTCCTTGACATCCAGGAAAACCAAGGACATTAACATGGGACTTCTCTCCACAGTGTTCCACAGGACTTGCACTCCTGGTCCCCTTCTCCGTATGTCTCCTTCTGTCCCCGAACCTTCTGCCGGTGCTCCTGACACTGGCCCTCAGGCCTCACTCCTGGGTGCTCAGCCCCTGTCTGAGTTGATTCCTCTCTTCAGCTTCAGAGGCCTTCCCTGTCCCTCCAAGACTGCCTGAGCTTCTCTCCTCTGTGGGGCTTCCCATGCCTCCGGTGTGCCTTGAGTGAGACACCCCCTCATATGTCTGCTTTCACCTCACCCTAACCAGTCCCTCTATCTAGCTCCTGCTGCTGGCTCTGCTGCTGGCTCTGCTCTCCCCCAGACTGCCAACAGACCCCTGCAGCTTTTCACCTGTGTTATCTGTAAACTTTCTTCACTCTTTCTTCTTCTAGGAACTCTTCTCACCTCGGCTTTCATGACTGTCAGTGCCCCGTCCACTTTGCTGTGGCCTTTTCTTTCTCAATGTGCCTTGAAGTCTTCAGGTTGGGGGAGATGCTGCCTGGGGCATGTGGGGGAGGGCGGGCCTAAACGGAGAAGGGGGCTGAGCAGAGACAGGAGGGGTGGTTGTGAGGGTGGCAGGAGGCTGTGGGATTGAAGGAAGGGGGCTGGCGTGGGCTGGGGCCCAGGGAAGGTGGTGTGGAGGACCAGAGGCTCTTGACTGGGAATGCCGGCCATGCAGGGTCTGGTGACTGACAGGTGCGTATCTGTGCAGGCCCAAGCCAGTGCTGGCCAGAGTGGCCAAGGCGTCCCCGATCGCAGGGGCAGCTCTCCCTGCTGTGGCCCGCAGCTGGACAGTGGCTGAGCTAGGATTCAGCCGAAGCTGCCGGTCCTGCCGGAGGCTTTCTTCTCACATCAGGGCCTTACGGCTGCCCCAACCCTGGCCCAGGTTTGTCACGGTTGTCCTGGGATCCCCTGAGGTTTCCCTGTTTCCCCTGCCTCTTCTGGGCACACAGATCTCGGGGGGCTTTCCTGAGCTGTCCTAAGCTCCAGCCTCCCAGATACCACCAGCTTCAGCGTCTTTTTCAGACCTCAGTGACAGCTGCCCCACGCCAGGTGCTGACCTTAAGCACCACTGTGCACCAGGGCTGGGTCCAGACACTTCCAGGCCTACTGTGTATCCTCCCCCTCCCCAGTGTTGACAAAACTGCTCTCCATGGTTTTGGCCTCTGTTGGAGGGGTTGCCCCAGATTTACATGTTTTGAGATGGATTTGTGGCTGCAGTGTTCCTCTGGGTCCAGGCTGTGGCCCCACGCCTGGGAATCATGTCTGACCCAAGTGTCTGGTGTCCTGTGCCTGGGGCGAGGCTCACGCCCACCGCATCCCGCCAGCTCAGCACCGGAGGCCCAGCCCTCTCCCCATCTCCCTTCCCTTCTCATTGTGATTCATCGTCTGTTTATTAAACATGTGGATTTTTGATTTGCAGTTTTTGGGGCTGCGAAGGCCTGATCCCACCAGCTGTTTACAATCTATCATCCAGCACAAATGGTTTCCACGTGGTTGTTATGCTGGCTTATGACTGGGAACAGAATCTTGGTATCCAAATATTGGACTTTCGGCTTAAAAATGAGTGCAGTTCTCAGCATTCCCATCCCTGTATTGACAGCAAATTTGCATATTCTCCTTGTTTGCTTTGCAGCTCAAGGTCGATGCTGTAGCCAGGATGTCATTCTAAATGGGCGGCCCCTGGGAAACAGAACCAATGGCCGTTGCCTCAGCGTTAAATTGGGGGACCGATCACAGGCTCCTGAGGGGGGTGAGGGTGCTCAGGCCCTGGTGCCGTCCGGCAGGAACAGGCTTCTCCGGGCCTCGGGGGGACATTGCTCCACTCATGACTGGTACAGCCCAGAGAGAGGCCCCTTTCCAGAGACCCTGAGTTACTGTCCCCAGAGAACACAATTTTTTTTTCCCAACAGAGAGATGGGCAGAGGCCATAAACAGATAGTTCAGAGCTATGAGAACCCAGGTGGCTAAAAACATGAAAAACATGGTCTCACCAGTAATCCAAGAAATACAAAACAAAACAGTACGGCCCTGGCATTTGCGAAACAGGCCCTGAACCTGCGAGGTGTGGCCACCGAGACCGACAGGCACCACAGCCTGGGGGGGCGTCGGCCAGCGTGCTCCAGGAAGTTCACACCTTCGACCTGTGTGTTCCACCCTGGACGAGCCATCCCAGAGACAAGGGAGTGGACAAAACTCAGCGCCCAAACACGTTCTCACAGCATTGTTCATAATCAGGGAAGTTAGGGCACATTTAAATAGTCAACATCAGAGCAGTGGTTAAGCAAATCCCCCAGTGCCTCTCAGAATCATATAATTGTTGAAAGAATGAATGGCGGACTGTGATGTAGCACGTAAGTCACATGGAGGAGGGGGTCTGAAGATCACGGGGATGCCTGTGGCCATATCGAAGGAAGAGCATGATGGGAAAATCCATCAGCGGCTCTCAAGGACAGAGCAGGGGAGAGTGACTTCCAGGAGGGGAAGAAGATTCCAGATGCTGATGGGGTGCTGGTGAGCAGTGCACACGCTTGTCAAAACTCATCAAACTGCACTAAAGGTCTGTGCTTTGTATTGTGTATAAATTATGTTCTCATAAAGTTGATTAAAATCTATTATGTAAAATTATATATAGACTTTCCCTCCATCTTAAAATATATAGGAAAAAGACAAAGGAAATAGGTTAAAATATCACTAATGGTTCATTTGGAATAATGAGATTTGGAGAGTTGGACAATTTCTTCTTCTTACTTTGTTTTCCGTGGTAGGTTTGCTCAGTGGTGGCCCCCGCAAAAGAAACGTTTGCCTCCTAGCCTCTGAATTTGAATGTCACCATATTTGGGAAAAGGGTCTTTGCAGATGTAATCTTAATAAGAGATCTTAATATGAGATCATCTGAGATTACTTGGTTTTTAGTAAGTAACCTTTAATTTTTAGAACAATTTTAGGTTCACAGCAAAATTGGATAGAAGTTACACAGGTTTCTCATATCACACCCCCACACAGGCATACAACCTCCCCTTATCAATATTTCCCATCAGAGGGTACATTTGCTACAGTGAATGAACCTACAGCGACACAGCATCGTGACCCAACTCCGTGGTTTACATCAGGATTTACTCTTGGTGTTGTCCATTCTAAGCGTGGACAAATTTATCATGACGTGTAGCCACCGTGGTAGTGTCACAGAACAGCCTCACTGCCCTGAAACCCTCTGCGCTTCCCAGGTCACCCCTCCCTCCCCCAGCTCCTGGCAACCACTGATTTTATACGGTCTCAGTTTTGCCTTTTGCAGGATGTCATATAGTTGGGATCATACAGCACGTAGCCCTTTCAGATTGGCTTCTTAGTAATACATTTGAGTTTCTTTCATGGCTTGACATCTCATTTCTTTTCAGCGCTGAATAACACTCCACTGTCTGGATGTGCCACTCACCTACTGAAGGACCTCTTTGTTGTTCCCAAGCTTTGGCAATTTTGAGTAAAGCTCCTATAAACGTCTGTGTGCAGGCTTCTCTGTGTACATACTTTTTCGGTTCATTTACCTAAATACCAAAGACAGCGATTGCTGGATTCTATGGGGAGGGTATGTTCCATTTTGGAAGAGACGGCCAGACTGTCTTCAATGGTGCTGCACTGTCTTGCGTTCCCAGCAGCCGTGAACGAGAGCTCCTGTTGCTACACATCCTGGCCAGCATTTTGTGTTCTCAAAACACATTCTGGCCACTCTAATAGATGTAGAGTGGTATCATTGTTTTAATTTGCAATCTCTAGTGGCGTATGACGTTGAACATCTTTTCATAGGCTTACTTGCCATCTATATATCTTCTTTGATGAGGTGTCTGTTTTGGTCTCTTGCCCATTTTAAAATCAAGTTGTTCATTTTTTTATTGTTGAGTTTTGATTGTTCTTCATGTATTTTGGATATCAGTTCTTTATCAGATGTGTCTGTGGCTTGCCTTCTCATTTTCTTGAAAGTGTCTTTCACAGAGCAGAAATTTCTAATTTCAAAGAAGCCCAGCTTATCAATCATTTCTTCCATGGATCGTGCCTTTAATGTTGTATCTAAAAAGTCATCACCTTACCCAAGGTCATCTAGGCTTTCCCTGTGTTAACTTCTAAGAGTTTTATAGTTCGCATTTTACGTTAGGTCTATGATCCATTTTCAGTTAGTTTTGTGATGGGTGTAAAGTCTGTGTCTGGATTTAATTTCTGCATGCAGATGTCCAGTTGCTCTATAGCCTCATTTGTTGAAAAGACAATTTTTGGCCACAGTATCGTCTTTGCTCCCTTGCCAAAGATCAGTTGACAAAATTATGTGAGTCTATTTCAGGACTTTATCCTATTCTGTTGCTTTATTTGCCTATTCTCATGTCAGTATCTTGATTATGGTGTCTTTTGCCTCTCTCTATAAACCTTAGAATCAGTTTGTCAATGTCTATAAATTAACTTGCTGGGATTTTTATTGAGAGTATGTTCAATCTACAGATTAATCTAGAACAACTGACTCGACAATATGTGAGAGGGTCTCCAAAAGGTTCATGGAAAATGCATATTATGAAAAAATGCGTAGATTTCAATTTCAAAATAAACTCATACTACCTTGTTATAACACATCTGAACAGGCTCTAGTTTGAGGCACTAAGAAGAATAGGACAGCAGTTTCAAAAGAGCCCCTATCAGGGCAACATGAATTCTGCCAACTGAATCTTTGAGTTTCTCACCATTAAGTAGGATGTTTGTTTTAGTTTTTTGGTAGATACTCTTTAACAAGTTGAAAAAATTCTCCTGTATTCCTAGTTTGCTGAGAGTTTTTAATCACGAATAAGTGTTAGGTTTTGTCAAATGCATTTTTGCATCCATGGATATGATGATGAGATTTTTCTTCTTTAGCCTATTGATGTGACTAATTTTCAAATGTTGAACCAGCCTTGCATACCTGGAATAAACCCTACTTTTCATAATATATAATTATTTTTACATATTGTTGAATTTAATTTGCTAATATTTTGTTGAGGATTTTTACATGTATGCTCGAGAGACATTTGTCTGTAGTAATATCTTTGTCTGGTTTTGGTATTAGGGTAATGCTGGCCTCATATAATGAGTTAGAAAGTATTCCTGCTGTTTCTACATTCTGGGAGATATTGTAGAGGACTGGCATAATTTTTTCCTTAAATGTTTGGTAGAATTCACCAATGAACCCATCTGGGCTTGGTGCTTTCTGTTTTGGAAGGTTATTAATTATTGATTCAATTTCTTTAATATAAACAGGCCTATTCAGATTATTTGTTTCTTCTTGTGTGAATTTTGGCAGATTGTGTCTTTCAAGGAACTGCTCCATTTTATCTAGGTTATCAAATTGGTGGGCATAGCATTTTTCAAAATATTCCTTTATTATTCCTTTAATGTTCATGGGATCTGTAGTGATGTCCCCCTTTCATTTCTGATATTAGTAATTTGTCTCTCTCTCTTTTTTTCTTAGCCTGGCAGAGGCTTACCAATTTTACTCATCTTTTAAAAGAACCAGCATTTGTTTTTGTTAATATTCTCTATAATTCCTGGTTTCAATTTTATTGATTTCTGCTCTAATTTTATTATTTCTTTTATTATGGTTAGTTTGGATTTAACTTGCTCTTCTTTTTCTAGTTTCATAAGGTGGAAGCTTAGACGACTGATGTTAGATCTTCTTTTCTAATATTTGCATTCAATGCTGTAAATTTCTAAGCACTGCTTTAACTGTTTCCCATAAATTTTGATAAGTTGTATTTTTATTTTTATGTAATTAAAAAAACTTTTTAGAAACAGGGTCTTGCTCTGTCACCCAGGCTGGAGTGCAATGGCATGATCATGGCTCACTGCAGCTTCACACTCTTGGGCTCAAGTCATCCTCTTGCCTCAGTCTCCTGAGCAGCTGGTACTACAGGCACATACAACTGTGCCCAGTTAATTTTTACATGTTTTTGTAGAGATGGGGGTCTTGCTGTGTTGCCCAGGCTGATCTCAAACTCCTGGCCTCAAATGATCCTCATGCTTCAGCCTCCTAAACTGCTAATTCAAAATATTTTAAAATTTATCTTGAGATTTCTTTTTTTTTTTGAGACAGAGTCTCACTCTATCGCCCAGGCTGGAGTGCAGTGGCACAATCTCAGCTCACTGCAAACTCCGCCTCCCAGGTTCACACCATTCTCCTGCCTCAACCTCCTGAGTAGCTGGGGCTACAGGCGCCCACCACCGCACCTGGCTAATTTTTTGTATTTTTAGTAGAGACAGGATTTCACCGTGTTAGCCAGGATGGTCTCGATCTCCTGACCTCATGATCCGCCCGCCTCGGCCTCCCAAAGTGCTGGGATTACAGGCGTGAGCCATCATGCCCAGCTGAAATTTCTTCTTTAACCCATGTACTTTTTAAAGTGTTTTGTTTAATCTTCAAGTATTTGGGAATTTTCCAGCTATCTTTCTGTTATTGATTTTGAGTTTAATCTGTTGTGGTTGGAAAGCAAACGTTGTGTGATTTCTGATTTATAAATCTGTTAAAATGTGTTTCCTGGCCCAGAATGTGGTCTCTCTTGGTAAATATTCAATGCAAGCTTGAGAAGAATTCTCAATCTGCTGTTGTTGGGTGTAGTATTTAGATGTCAATTATGTCCAGTTGATTGATGGTGTTGTTGAGTTCATCTGTGTCCTTATTGATTTTCTACCTGCTGGATCTGTTCATTTCTGATAGAGGGCTGTGGAAGTCTCCAGCTCTAATACTGGATTCATCTATTTCTCATTGCAGTGCTGTGATGTTTTTACCTCGTATATATTTGGCACTCTGTTGTTAGGCACATACACATTAAGGATTGTTACATCTTCTTGGAGTGCTGATTCCTTTATCACCTGTAATACTTCCCTTTGTCTCTGATAGCTTTCTTTGCTCTGAAGTCTGCTCTGTCTGAAATTAATATAGCCACTCCCACTTTCTTTGATTAGTGTTAGCATGGTATATCTTTCTCCATCCATTTACAGCAGATCTTCAAATAACATCATTTTGTTCAACATCATTTTATTTTGTTATAATGATAATAAGTTTTGTGCATTCTCCCCATGTCTGTGTGGGTTTTCTCTAGGTATTCCAGTTCTTCCCACACCCCAAAGATGTGCACACTAGGAGAGCTGGTGTGTCTCCATGGTCTCACTGTGAGTGTGGGTGTGTGTGAAATGTGCCCTGCAATGGAAAAGAGTCCTGTCCAGGATTGGTTCCCACCTTGCACCCTAAGCTGCCGGGATAGGCTCCAGCCACCTGCAACCCTGAGCTGGAGTAAGTGGATTGAAAAATAAATGAATTATTAGTAAAGTATTTTAAAATAACAATTCATAAACTATATGACAATCATAAAAATACATGACCACAAATAATGTGGTACAAAAGTGCTCATCAAGCCTGCCATGTTTGCTACTGTTTGTTTTTGAATTGAGTGGTGGTAGGAGGTGCTCCTCAGAATTTTCAGTTTACAAGCATTTATTCCTTGATTTAACCCACCACCACTATGACCACTGTCATTGATGATTCCTCAAAATTGAGTAAATAATTATCTTACTTGTTTTAATCTTTCTTAAATGTATGTATATCTTACATTTATTTCAATGTTTAATATTATAAGTATTTTGAGCCTATATTTAGAAGTTTGGTGATATTGTTGTGACCAGAAATATGTCACAAAAAACTTAACTCTTGTGTTTATCAATTAGCCTATAGGAAAAGTGGTTTTGTTATACATCACTTTACTCAAAAAGCCACAGTTTCCAAGAACCTACCACTGACGTTTAGTGAAGACTTACTATACTTTTAATCTATCCGTGTCCTTCTATGAAAGTGGGTTTCTTGTAGATGACATATAGTTGGGTATTGTTTTCTATCTACTCTGACAATCTGTCTTTTGATTGATGTATTTACACCATTGACATTTCAGGGATTATTAACATAATTGGGTTAATAGCTGCTATATTGTTTACTGCTTTCTATTTGTTGCCCTTGATCTTTGTTTCTAATTTTGTCACACGTTTTCTACCTTTTATGGTTTTAGTTGAACATTTTGTATTCTTTCATTTTCTCTCCATTCTGAGCATATCAACTGTACTTCTTTAAAAATTTTTTTGTGTGGTTTCCCTTGAGTTTGCAATATACATTATACAATAATCTGTAAGTCTACTTTCAAATAACACTATACAGTTTCATGGGTGGTGCAAATATCTTATAATAACAAAATATTTCTAATTCTTAACCCTTTCTTCCTGTATCATGACTGTCATTCACTTCATTTATATGTGAGCATATAGATGCACACATAATTCAGTTCATTGTCGCTATTATTTTGCACTGTTTTCTGTTTGCTAAATTAAAAAAAAGACAAAGTTTTTATTTTACTTCATTTATTCATGTTCCAGTGCTCTCCCTTACTTTATGTAGCTTCAAGTTTCTGACCTACATTATTTTCCTTCTCCTTAAATAATTTCTTCTAATATTTGTTGTAAGGAAGTCTATTGGCAAAAAATTCCCTCAATTTTTATTTGTTTGAGACTTTATTTTTCCTTCACTTTTAAAGGATAATTTCGCAGGGTACTGAATTCTAGTTTGGTGTTTTTTTCTCTCAGCACTTTAAATATTTCACTCCACTCTCTTCTTGCTTATACAGCCTGCCTGCCTGCCTGCCTGCCTGCCTGCCTGCCTGCCTGCCTGCCTTCCTTCCTTCCTTCCTTCCTTCCTTCCTTCCTTCCTTCCTTCCTTCCTTTCTTTCCCTTCCCTTCCCTCCCTCCCTCCCTCCCTCTCTCCCTCTCTCTCTCTCTCTTTTCTTTTTCTTTCTTTTTGAAAGCCTGTTGCACAGGCTGGAGTGCAGTGGTGCACCCACAGCTCATCACAGCCTAGACCTCCCTGGGCTCAGGTGATCCTCCCACCTCAGCCTCCCAAGTAGCTGGGACTACAAGTGCTCACCACCACACCTGGCTAATTTTTGTGTTTTTTGTAGAGATAGAGTCCTGTCATGTTACCCTGGCTGATATTGAACTCCTGGGCTTAAGCATCCCACTTGCCTCAGCTTCCCAAAGTGTTGGGATTGTAGGCATGAGTCACCATGCCCAGCTGCTTACACAATTTCTGAGGAGAAGTCAGATGTGATTCTTATCCGTGCTCCTCCACAGGTAAGGTGATTGTTTCCCTCTGTCTTTTTTTCAAGACTTTATCTTTGACTCTAAAGTTTGAATGTGGTACACCTAGGTGGTGTTTTTGGTTGTTTGGAGTTTTTTTTTTTGGCATTTATTCTGCTTAATCTTCTCAAAGCTTTCTGGATTTATGGTTTGGTGTCTGACATTAATTTGGAAAAATTCTTGGTCATTATTGCTTCAAATTTCTTTCTTCTCCTTCTTGTATTCCCATCACACATATGCTACACCTTTTGTAGTTGTCCCAGAGTTATTGAATATTCTGTTTTTTTTTTTTCCTTTTTCTCCTTGCTTTTCGGTTTGGGAAGTTTCTATTGTCATATCCTTAAGCTAAGAATCATTTCCACAGCCATGTATGTCTAGTCAGCTAACGAACCCATCAAAGGCATCCTTCATATCTGTTCTAGTGGTTTTGATCTCTAGCATTTCTTCTTTATTCTTTCTCAGAATTTTCCACATCTCTGCTTACATTACCCATCTGTTCTTGTCATTCCTGATCTGATAATTTCAACATTCCTGCCATATCTGACTCTGGTTCTGATGCTATTCCGTCTTTTCAAGCTATGTCTTTTGTCTTTTAGTATGCCTTGTAATTTTTTGTTGAAAGGCAGACATAATGTACTGGGCAAAAGAAACTGCAGTAAATGGCCCTTTAGAAATGTAGTGATCCAAGCTGGGTGTGGTGGCTCACGCCTGTAATCCCAGCACTTTGGGAGGCCCAGGTGGGTGGATCATGAGGTCAAGAGATCGAGACCATCCTGGCTAACATGGTGAAACCCCGTCTCTACTAAAAATACAAAAAATTAGCCGGGCGCGGTGGCAGGCGCCTGTAGTCCCAGATAATTGGGAGGCTGAGGTAGGAGAATGGCGTGAACCCGGGAGGCGGAGCCTGCAGTGAGCCGAGATTGCGCCACTGCACTCTCCAGCCTGGGTGACAGAGCGAGACTCCGTCTAAAAAAAAAAAAAAGAAATGTGTTGGTCCAACATGGGGCCAGGAGAGGCATTCTCTAGTTCTCTGAACAGGTCTCAGCCTTTTGAACCTGTGTCCTGGACTGTGAACTTCACTAATGCTTTTCAGTTTCTATCCCCCTTAAAGGTTGGACAGGATGACTAGAAGGGCCTGGGGTTCGGTATTTCCCTTCTCCCAGGTGGTCTGGGCTCTGATAAAACCTCAACAGGCAAGGCTGATTGAATAGTTTCTGTTGGGGGCAGCCTTGTTAAGAACAGAAGGCTCTGGCAGACTTTAAAATGACTCCTTTCCCCCTCCCCCGGCTGAGAGCATGAGGGGATTTCTCTCTGATATTCACTGTGAGGACCTGGTAGGGCTCCTGGAGATAAAATCCACAAAGGCGTGTTTCCCATAACTGGGTCCCCTCGAGTTTTTAACTCTCAAAGTTGTCCACACTGAACCGCAATTCATCAACTTCATCCAGGTTTTCTTATGCCGGCACTGGTTCCAGTGGAGGTTTCTGCTCTTGGGAAGCTGTGATTCTCTGTATCTGTCAGTGTTTCTCTTCAATTTGCCGGGGGGCAGCAGTTTGTCCTGTGACCTAATTTCTCTGAAAGATTTAAGAAGAGTTGATTTTTCAATTTTTTTCAGCTGTTTACTTGTTAGGACAGAGTGACAACTTCTAAGTTCTACATGTATTTTTAATTTTGTGCATTAGATTTTTGATTTCTAAAAATCTTAATTGGCTGTTTAACAAATCTATCTGTCATTTTCATAGTTTTCTGTTACTTGCAGGTATTTTCAAGTTGATCTTTTACTTCTTTAAACATAATGATAACTAAAAATAATATGTGTCTGATAATTCCATTTTTTAAGTCTTTGTGGATTTTTGCTTACTATTTTTTCTGCCAGTTCTAACTCATGGTGCCTTGTGTCTTTGTATATGTAGTTATTTTTCACTGTGAGCTGCTCATGTTGCTTATACAATTATTGGGGGAAATTCTTTGAGTTTGAGATGAATGTGCATCCCTTCACAGACTGTATTTGCTTTTCCCAAGCTCCTGTAGCCCCATCAATCTGAAATCTTTTTAAACTAATTCCACAGCCTAAAGATTTTTGGACTCCCAAGGAACAGAGTCTCTGTGCTTGGAGGCGGCCCGGGCAGCCTGGCTTGTCCAGATGGAGCTCACGGCCGGGGCCTCGCCTGTGACTCGGTGTGGGCGGGGCCTCGCCTGTGACTCGGTGTGGCCCGGGGCCTCGCCTGGGACTCGGTGTGGGCCGGGGCCTCGCCTGGGACTTGGTGTGGGCAGTGGCCAGGATGTGACCATGGTGAGACCAGGCCTTGCCAGAGCGTGGACTTGGCAGACACGGCTCCTCCCTTGTGTGCGGTGGGAGCTTTTGGTGCGTTCCTTACGTTGGAGCCGGCATGGAGAAGCAGGGCGGTCCCTGGGGACCAGCTCCTCATTTGCACCCCTCTTTTTAATTAAGTACATTGTTTATTTTTGGTACCTACTTGTAGCCTAGTTTAGGGCCCACCGCATATTCTAAAGTGATGCACCCAATGGTGTCCAGAGACAGACTAGCCTGGAGTTGGATGGGGGGCCAGTCTGGGGATGCAAAGGTCTAGAGAAGCCCAGGCCAAGGGCAGGCAGAGCAGGGTGGGAGTGGGAGCAGGAGGGGATGCTGGGGGCAGTGGCAGCACATGTGTCCCAAACCACTGCCTCCTAGGTGGGGTGGGACGGGCCCCAACACACCACCTGGCTGTGCCCCGTGTGGGGGTCAGGGGTGCAGCGAGGAGGGCTGGGTGAGCAGTGGGGTCAGCAGTGCGGCGAGGAGGGCTGGGTGAGCAGTGGGGTCAGCAGTGTGGCGAGGAGGGCTGGGTGAGCAGTGGGGTGAGGGGTGCGGCGAGGAGGGCTGGGTGAGCAGTGGGGTGAGGGGTGCGGCGAGGAGGGCTGGGTGAGCAGTGGGGTCGGGTGCGGCGAGGAGGGCTGGGTCAGCAGTGGGGTCAGCAGTGTGGTGAGGAGGGCTGGGTGAGCAGTGGGGTCAGCAGTGCGGCGAGGAGGGCTGGGTGAGCAGTGGGGTCAGCAGTGTGGCGAGGAGGGCTGGGTGAGCAGTGGGGTCAGCAGTGTGGCGAGGAGGGCTGGGTGAGCAGTGGGGTCGGGTGCGGCGAGGAGGGCTGGGTCAGCAGTGGGGTCAGCAGTGCGGCGAGGAGGGCTGGGTGAGCAGTGGGGTGAGGGGTGCGGCGAGGAGGGCTGGGTCAGCAGTGGGGTGAGGGGTGCGGCGAGGAGGGCTGGGTGAGCAGTGGGGTCGGGTGCGGCGAGGAGGGCTGGGTGAGCACTGGGGTGAGGGGTGCGGCGAGGAGGGCTGGGTGAGCAGTGGGGTCAGCAGTGCGGCGAGGAGGGCTGGGTGAGCAGTGGGGTGAGGGGTGCGGCGAGGAGGGCTGGGTGAGCAGTGTGGTCAGCAGTGTGGCGAGGAGGGCTGGGTGAGCAGTGGGGTGAAGGGGTGCGGCGAGGAGGGCTGGGTGAGCAGTGGGGTCGGGTGCGGCGAGGAGGGCTGGGTGAGCAGTGGGGTCAGCAGTGCGGCGAGGAGGGCTGGGTGAGCAGTGGGGTGAGGGGTGCGGCGAGGAGGGCTGGGTCAGCAGTGGGGTGAGGGGTGCGGCGAGGAGGGCTGGGTCAGCAGTGGGGTCAGCAGTGCGGCGAGGAGGGCTGGGTCAGCAGTGGGGTCAGGGGTGCGGCGAGGAGGGCTGGGTCAGCAGTGGGGTCAGCAGTGTGGCGAGGAGGGCTGGGTGAGCAGTGGGGTGAGGGGTGTGGTGAGGAGGGCTGGGTCAGCAGTGGGGTGAGGGGTGCGGCGAGGAGGGCTGGGTGAGCAGTGGGGTCGGGGTGCGGCGAGGAGGGCTGGGTCAGCAGTGGGGTCAGCAGTGTGGTGAGGAGGGCTGGGCGAGCAGTGGGGTCGGGGTGCAGCGAGGAGGGCTGGGTCAGCAGTGGGGTCGGGGTGCAGCGAGGAGGGCTGGGTGAGCAGTGTTGGCCTCTTCCCCGCTCTGCCCAGTACCTAGAGTGCTGCCACGTCTGGTGAAGGACTCAGTAAATACTTGGTGAAGGATCAGATGAAGAAGGAAAAGTTGTCAGTGCTGAGGCAGGAGAAGCCAACCTCAGCATCTGAGCCTGAGTGGTGGTGGGGCAGGGTCCTGCCCAGAGAAAGGTGATCCCCTTCCCGAGGGGAGGGCTGGCACGGTGCTCAGGAGCAAGGGCTGCAGGCCCACAGGACCTTTGTTCATCTGACCTGTGTCCCCATGCCAGGCTCTGTCCCAAGCGGGCTGAGGCAGATGGCCTAGGCAGCCGTCGGTGAACCCTCCCTGGCTCCAGAGCCTGTGCAGGCCCCGTGGGGGTCAGGCTGCTGTGGGGGGCTTGAGGACCCTCACTTTTGGCCCCTGGAGGCCCCGACGAGGCGGCCCTTGAGGTTCAACTGGACAGTATTCCCCTGACCCCTGAGCAGAGTGTGGCATCAAGACCCCGACAGTGAGGCCAGTCCCAGGCCGGGATTCGGTGCCCTCCTTTAATGTGTGTGCGAGTGCCCACAGGCCTCACTCAGCCTAGAGGAAGGTGGGCTTGCGAGCTGGGGCCTGTCTCATGCTTTGCCTCCGTGGCATTGGCTGCGCCTCACTCCTGCACTGTGGCTTCCATGTGTTGAAAGGCGAGTTCCATAGGTGAGAACAGCTCCCTCCCAGCACACCACCGGCCTTTGCTCGTGTACAGTATTTACCCAATGCCGGTGAACACGAGCAGCCTCCATATTCTTGCACCAAGGCTGGAGAAGGACCCAGCCTGCAACACAGCTCATGAGGCATCAGGGGCCAAGCACCTACCGTCTTGATGACTGGGGGATGGTGCCCAGGTCTGTCTGCCCCCACTGTCCAGTGGATGGTGTGGGAAGGCATTGCAGGCTGGCTGAGCAGGTTACATAACAGTGCACACATGGGTTTACTTTACTTGAAACCCTAAACCCTCTGCAAACAGCCCCCTCCCTAATCCCTCCCTGTTGACTCTGTAGATGAGCCCAGGGTGCTGAAAGATGCAGCTGCATGCCTCTGCAGCCAGGCCCAGGGCCTGCAACATCCTTCAGCCAAACGTGGGTCCCTGGGGAGCCTCTGTGGCCTCGCCGGTTTCGATGAAGGCCAGAGGACTGGCTGCACGGGTTGCCTCAGCTCTGCCTGCCTCTCTGTTCGTGCCTCTCTCCTACCTGGCGGGGGTGTCTCTGTTGGCCTCAGAGATGTCGCTGGTGCTCACCCTGGTCACACTGACCACTGGGCATCCTCCCACCCCCTGGGCCACTTCTGTCTCTGCACTTGGCTTCCCTGCCCACGGCGTGGCACCCAAACAAAGCCCACAGAGAGGCTGGCGCCCTCCTCAGCCAGATGCCTGCATTTAATAGAAGATGCAGAGACACAATCTAAGCCAAAGGAATGAATCTCTAGTGGTGAAATAGCATCTGGTAAGAGGAGAGATTTCTGAAAGGAGGCCCCTTTCTCCTTCTCGCCCCTCCTTGCTCTGGAGGCTGAGTCCAGCTGCTCCTCCCATGCCCCTGCCCAGAGGGCAACGTGCACCAGGGCCTGAGAGCACAGACAGGTCTAGGTGGGATCCGTGTCAGCACCGCAGGGCACACGAGCGACTCGGCAGGCTCCAGAGTTTGGCTCATTTTCTGCTTGGTCCCTTTTTGATGCCTGTGATTTATTTATAACAATAGTTTGCATAATTCCAAATGTGGTGACACAGCATGCAGACGCTGAGTGAAATGAAGACAGAACAGATTTTTCAGAGGGGTAGTGGTGTGGAGCAGGCTGGGCCGCGAGTGATAGAACTGAGCCCCAGGTTGTGCTCGGAGTCTCCTGGTGCCAGAACACTGGGCTTCCGTGGGACCTGAGGGGCTGAAACGGTGCTGGACCTGGACCCTTCCTCACAGTCACCCTCAGGTAGCCCATCTCAGACAGGAGGGGACCCCTTGTCCCCCATCCCCATGTTCGGAGCGTGCTGAGCTGCACACAGTCCTCCCTGGGTCTGAGACCGCTGGTCCTGCCCCCACCCCAGCTCTCTCCCCTCTGGGTCTTGGGTTTCAGCTGTGATGTCATCCTGCTTGCCTGGAGTCCAGAGGGGTTAGCTGGGGGGCTCTTGTTTGCCCAGAATTCCTTGTGGCTGTCCAGTCTCAGTGCCCACTGTGATGCCTGACCCTCCGTGAGAGCCAGCACTCAGGTCAGAGATCGTAACCTCCCGAGTGCTGAGTGTCTCCGGCGCTGCCCAAGCTCAGGGCATGTTTGTGTCTCAGTTCAGGGCATGTTTATGAATTGACAAATGAAGTTTTGGAAGAGGACAAGTTCACATACACTTGACCACCGAGAGATAGAGGGAGGGTTTCACATAGCTCTCTACCATGGGGGGGAGCGGTTTTCCCCTGGGGCCTAGTGTGTGGCCCTGTCCAAGCTCACCCAGCCTCCCCTTGAGGGAGCACCATAGATTCCGGATGCTCAGACCATGTTGGAAGCTCAGGCCTTTGGAACACCTCAGATCCTACTCCAGCCTTTCTAGAAGCTGGGGTTTAATATATCTTAGCAGATGGGAATGTCCTGTCACTCAGAGAAAAGGCTGGGCAAGGTCTCTCTGGGGATGAAACCACTTAGCGCTCTTCTTTTGGGGGATTTAAGCGCAAATGATTCAGAAACAGTCAGGCTTCATTTCTTGACACGGGGCTGGAGGAGGTGAGAAGGGCATTGACCAAATGAAATTTGGGTTTGGTCCAAGTCAGAAATGTGTGAGATGAATGGGGACAGGTTTCCCGAGCCCATTTAGGTCTGTGCACGGTTACCAACAGCAGCAGCAGCAGCGGAGGCTGGGGCACCAGGGTGGGGCTCCTGAATGGGACATGAAGAAGGGTTACCCCTTCTGCCATAAGCAACAGGCAGGGCAGATTTTACAAACGCGTTTTCTAGCATTGTTTCTTTCAGCCCAAAAGAGTTCTGTGAGTTCATCTTCAGAAATCAAGTTTCTGAGAGGTGGGGACATCCAAGGACACTGGAGATTGGGATGTCCGGGAAAACGGGGTCTTCAGGCCCGATCTCTGCCCACCTTCCATGCCCTTTCCCCAGCCTGCCCCTCCAGGGTGCAGCCTCCCCATGCCGACGAGGTTCCCTGGCACAAGCAGGCTGGTGTGCATGTCTGTGCTTTGGCTGCAGGAGCTGCAGAGAGGGTGATGTCAGGTCCATGTTGTGTAGAGAGAATTCCGACATCGCCCAGCAGGTGCTCGGGTGCCGTGTCCAGCAGCTTGGTGGGCTTCCTCAGCCCCTCAGACCCCCAAAACCATTTTCTTTTTTTGCATCCATCAATGTCCCGCACAGGAGCAGGCCCCTCCCAGGTGAGGTGGGCTTGGATGCAGGAGGGAAGTGGTAAAGACCCCTCCCAGAGACAATGCAGAATTGGCCTACACGGGTGGGGCATTGGAAGCCAGCTCTGGGGGTACTGACTCAGGAAGATGTGCCTCAGCTGAGCCCCGGGCATTAGGAATTGGCTGCAGGCATGGACAGTGGACACGGAGCAGGGAGGCCCAACGCTACCTGCCTACAGGGGAGCCTGGGACGTGGGCTTCTGTTCCGCAGCCTGCAGAGCCTGCTGGAGCCGGGCTGGTGTCGAGGACCACCTGGCGCCCAGCAGGTCCCCCTGCAGCTTGTTTTCTGGGAAAGCAATGGACTGAATGCCTGTGTCCCCCCAAATTCATGTGTTGAAATCAACCCTCAAGGTGATGGCATTTGGGGGTGCAGCCTTTAGGAGGTGATGGGGTCATGAGGGCGGAGGCTCATGAACGGGGTTACTGCCCTTACAGAAGAGGCCTAAGGGATGCCCCTCTCTTCCTCCACATGACACAGTGAGAAGGTGGCTGTCTGCAAGCCAGGAAGAGGGCCCTCACCAGAACCCAACTCAGCTGGTACCGTCTGCAGCTTCCAAACTCCAGAACTGTGAGAAATAAATGTGTGTTGTTATTAAATCGTCTTGGTGTTTTGCTAGAGAAGCCCTAGCTAAGGCACCTTCCGTTCTCCCACCTCTTCCTCCTGGGGCAAGGCCTGGGTGAGGCCCCATAAGCCAGCGAGTGGCTTCAAGCTGGTGGCACAGCCAGTTTCAAGCCGTCTCTGGGGTACGTGGCACACACAAGAGCCGGGCTGTGTAACCTGCAGCCCACGGCTCCACAGAGGGGCTGTGCCGCCCGGGGACACTTTCTCTGCAGGTCTCTGGCTTCAACCCTCCTTGCCGCTTGTGTGCCGGGATGCACTTTTGGGGCAGCTGGCAGCCTTTTAGCCTCAGCTCCTCTGTGGGGACAGAGCCAAGACTGATCGCAAGGCCAAGACCTAGGAGTCCAGGGGAGGCCCTCGGCTCTGTCCTTCCTGCCGGCCCGGCTCCTGCTCATTCCACTAACAGGCATCTCCCTGATGAAATCCTCGAGAGGTTAGTCCTGTCTCGGCGGCAGCTGCTCAGAGCACCGGGCTGTCCTCTGGCCCCTCCGAAAGCATGGCCCTGAATCACTGGGGGAGCCTCACCAGGCAGAGATGGCTCATCCCCATGGACCTGGGCCCCCGGGTCCCGGCCCCCCTGGCCTGGCCAGCACCTGACGCTGCTGTGAGGAGCATATGGTCAAATCTGCACCTGCTGCCGGCCACAAGGGAGGAGCAAGTGCTGAGTGCCCCTGGGCCACCTGACCAAGAGGTGTCCTTGTGTCCCTCGCCCCCTGCCCCAGACGTGCCTCTCGGGACCTTCAGGCCACGGTGCTATTTATTACCCACTTGAGGACAAACTCGGAGCCAACCCACAGGCCTATGTGGCAGGACTGGCCACACCTGGGCCCAGACACGCTGCAGCTTTGCGACTCCGGCCACAGATCCCGGGGACTGACTGGGGTTGCAGGCCTTGGGCCAGCCCCTGAACCTGGCCGTGCCTCACAGAGCTTTGGTGGGGATGACATGAGTGGATACATTCAAAGGGTTTAAAACGGCGCCTGGCACACTGCATCCGTGCTGCTGTGATTCTATTTGAGTTGGTGCTTTCCAGATCGGTTTCTCTCTGTGACGATCCAGAATCTGTGTTCCGTGCCCAGGCCCAGGAGTGAGGAGAGGCCAACAGGGAGGAGAGGAGGGCTCCTGCCTCAGGGAAACGGAGCCCGTGCAGGAGGTCCTGGCCGGGCAGCATGGGGCTCAGGACGGATGCCCGTGGCGGGTCACCCCCCACAGCAGTCACAGCCGGGGGGCCCCCAGGCCTCAGGGTTCCACGGAGCAGGTTGGGCAAGTGTGTTAGGACCATCAGCAACCTGTGTGCAGCCAAAGACAGCAAGGACAGAGCCAGGAACTCCGGCTTCTGCCTCCTCTCCCTGTGCCGCCTCTCCTGGCTGAGGGCTGGAGAGAGAAGGCCACGGAGCGAGAGTGGCAGCCCTCAAGGGACGCAGGCTCAGTGCTGGCTGCAGGGGAGCTGCGAGGGCCTCAGGCGAGGGAGCTGCGAGGAGGCCGCTGCGGCCCAGTCCGTCTGTTCCCTGAGCTGATGACAAACCGTTTGTTTTCTGTGAAAGGTGCTTTACTGGGAGAAAGGCTAACAGTGAGGCAGCTCTGAAGTGCTTTTATTCTCAGTTTCCTCTGTCGCTTAAAGACCACTTCACATTTCTTTTTATTTACACGGATAAGGATGGATGAGCTTGATGTTCTCCCACCTTCCTCTTGGCGCAGCTTTCTTCTCCTCCCTCTTGGAAGGACTTTCGCTTTTTATTATTATTTTAAACGTTTTAAACAACAATCTCCCAGGCGCCCAACAAAGGCGCTACTGGTGCCAGGTGCTTGGCGCCTGCCTTCCCTGACAACACACGGGCCACATCCTCAGCCCCCCCGGCTGGTGGCCTGTGACTCCCGCCCCAGTGCCAGACTCTTTATTTCATTTTGTTGGCATGGTGGAAAACACTGGCTTTTCAGGAGGTGACCCTGCTTTCAAGAGCCAACCTTTGGAGAAAACAGGACACAGAAGCTGGTTTTGGCTGTGAGGCCCTGACGCACGGATGCAGGTTGCACAGGCCCCATGTCCTCCTCACAGCCTGCCTTTCCAGCTGGCTCAGGAGTCCCTGCGGCTTGAGTTTATCCAGAAGCTTCCCTTTCTCCCGCAAGAGCTACTCGTGGAAGAGACCAGTTTTAAGTGATTTTGCCGCATTTGACCTTTTGGGTATTTCAGTGAAAACAAAACCTCTTCCACAATGCAAAAACTTGGATTCAACAACCATCGATTATTCCCTCTGGGCACCTCACAGAGCTGGGGTGAAGGCCACCTGGGGTTCACGGGACTCACCGTTGGGTGTTGGCATTGAGTCTTGTAGAGCAGGGACTGGCAAAGTCAGAGCACAGGGCCTGGTGTGAATCCCACCTCCTTCCCCGACTGGCCAGGGGACCTGCAGCAAGCGCTCAGCATCTCTGAGCCTTAGTTTCTTCCTCTGCACGGGGAGCTCAGCGGTGGCACCCACTTCATTTCAGTGGTGCCCCCTTAGTCATGGATGATATAAAAATGTTGCCACAAAAGTAACCAAGACAGGTCGGGATGAGATATGCACGACTTCTAAACCCAATTAGGGATTAATTAGGAACATACAATAAATTCCCCCAATTCATAAGAAAAAGACAGGAACTCCGGTGGATGAATGGACAGATGATATTAATAGGCAATTTTCAGAGGAATTTAAAGCAGCAGACAGATCCATCATACCTGCCAGACAGGTGTGCGCTGCCTGGTGTGACCCTGCTGGAGGCAGTGAGGGCAGCAGGGATGGCAGCACCTGGCGGCTAGGACTCGGCCAAGCTGAAGTTCATGCACCCGAGAGCCACAGCCTCTGCCCCAGACAGGGATCAGAAGTAGATTTACACTCCCCTCTGAAAGAACAACAACAGAGAAAACACACAAAGCACATTTTTCAAAACCCTGGGCATCGGTCGCCCGCACTCCGCCACCGTGAGTACACTGCGTGGACCCAGAACCTTGACTCCTCTTGTTTCTGTGAGGCTGGGACTTACGGGTGATGTGCAGAGGGGCCAGAGCTGGTATTTAGAGAGGAAATTTGGGGGCAATTAAAATAGGGGTTCTCGACAAGTCTGGCCTCCCTGAGCCCAGGACCACCATAGAGCTCTGAACAGAGGAATGAGCTGGTCGCCGTGAGAGGCGGCTTTGCCAGAGCTGGGCCAGGGGGAAACAGCCCGTTCAATCAGGACTTGGGGGGTGGGACTGGCTTGGGGTTGGTTGGTGTGAGGCGGGGAGAAGGAGATCCGGAAGAGTCCTCGACGGCTGACATTCACGTCACTGGAGGGGGCCGATTGGAGGGGTCAGCGATGGGCTCAATTTTGTGCCCTCTTGAGTTCGAGGTGTCTGTGGGGCCTCCAGCTACAGACATTTGTGTGTTGGAAAAGCTCTGCAAACCCTGAAACCTGGGGAGGCCCCTGGTCTTGTCTGATGGTTGTAGGTCATGGTGACCTCCACTAGGGCATCTTCACTCCCCTGAGCCACACTGAGACACTGGGTTTGATTGAGACTCTCCAGCCATGATGACAAGGGTTCAGCTCTGGTAAGCCATGTGCAGCCTCCCCCTCAAAGACCAGATGCCACCCACCCAGGGCCCCAAACATCCTGGCCCAGCGGGTCTGCTCACTCCTTGATGAGCTTACCTTCCTCGATCACCCCAACATGCAGAGAGAAACCCTTTGCCCTTCTTGGAGGGAGGGGTCAGATGCTCACTCTGCAGATCCCTGAAGACAAGCAGATGCTCCCTGAGTGGCCTGTCTGAGGGATTCAGCTGGCAGCTGGGTATCCTCATGTGTGCAGTTCCTGAGTGAGCACTGGTGGTGGGGAACAGGCCTGGCTTTCCATGCCTGGGGGGTGCAGGGGGGATGGGCCTGGCTTTCCACGCCTGGGGGATGCAGGGGGGATGGGCCTGGCTTTCCACGCCTGGGGGGTGCAGGGGGGATGGGCCTGGCTTTCCACGCCTGGGGGGTGCAGGGGGGATGGGCCTGGCTTTCCACGCCTGGGGGGTGCAGGGGGGATGGGCCTGGCTTTCCACGCCTGGGGGGTGCAGGGGGGATGGGCCTGGCTTTCCACGCCTGGGGGGTGCAGGGGGGATGGGCCTGGCTTTCCACGCCTGGGGGGTGCAGGGGGGATGGGCCTGGCTTTCCACGCCTGGGGGGTGCAGGGGGGATGGGCCTGGCTTTCCACGCCTGGGGGGTGCAGGGGGGATGGGCCTGGCTTTCCACGCCTGGGGGGTGCAGGGGGGATGGGCCTGGCTTTCCACGCCTGGGGGGTGCAGGGGGGATGGGCCTGGCTTTCCACGCCTGGGGGGGTGCAGGGGGGATGGGCCTGGCTTTCCACACCCGGGGGGTACAGCGGGGATGGGCCTGTATTCCACACCTGGGGGTGTATGTCCACCACCCAGATGCCACCTCTGTGTCATTCCTGGAGGGCATTCGGGCATCACCTGAGGGTGGGGAGCAGTGCCCTGACCCACATGACCCCCAGCAGAAGCTGCCACTGTCGGCCCTGGGCTCCGGGTGTCAGCGTGGCGCTCTGGGCTTTTCCCACACTGGGGGGCCATTTCAGGATGTGGATCCCTCCAGGAAGGGCTTGCTGAGTGGCTGCTGTTTGCTGGGATGGGTGAGGGGTAGACAACAGGCACTCAGGAGCCATGGTTGGGACAGAACTTATGTTTGTCAGCCACCTTGGAGGGGCGACCTGGAGAGCTCGGACAACCTTGCAGCACCCACCAGAGAGCTTAGCACCAGGACCCAGCGGAGCTCTCCCACGTGCACACAGACTCACTGCTCGTGTGTGAGAAGGGGAATAAGTGTGACTGAGCCTTCTGGAAGTTAGGGCCTAGCACAGAGGGTCCCAGATGGCCCGGAGAACCAGGTCCTGTGCAGCTATCCAGAGAAGGTCCAGTCACCAGAGACAGACAGCTGGAGTGCCAGGGCCCTGGAGGTATCAATTGCCTTTGTTTTACATGAAGACATTGAACTTCCACAGGAGGGCAAACGCCCTGGCTAAAGTAACTGGCGGGGCAGCGTCAGGAACTCACAAGCCCCTGTGGTCCGTGCAGGCTGCCGTCGATTTGATGAGCACAGCAGGTCCAGGCAGAGAGACGCTCACCTCCAGCTGCGGTTGGGGTATGTCTGGGAGGCCTGTGGGGTGGCTTTGCTCCTCCACCTTGGGCCAGGGTAGCCTGTGGCAAAGACAGTCTCACAGTGTGTAGTCTCCTTGAGGTCTGGGCCTGTCCGCAGACAGGAAATAATGAGACCGGCTCAGGACAGGGCCGGGCTGGCCTCTGTGTTTTGTGAAAGTTCGAGTTTCTACACCCTCTGAGAAGATGCTGGGCCCTGAGGGAGGGTGTGGACCAGAAGGAAGTCACGGGGTGAGTGGAGGGGGAGGGAAGCTTATGTGCCATTTTAAGAAGACGACAGCAAAAACAGGAAAATCCTATTTATCTGAATCCTATGTGATTCCACTTGAATTTTCAATAATTTAGACAAAAGTAAATTGGCGTTTACTTTTGCATTAGCCATAAGGAGCAGAAGGAGAAATTTGCTCCCTAGAATATGAGTGTTGACGTGTTGCTGACATCAAAACAGAATTTAAACTTTGAGGAAAGAGAGATGCCAGTGCTGCCACAAAGGCACCGACGCCCGAGACAGCAGGGCTCGTGTTTCTTCACGCAGACCATCTGTGCCGCCGTTGGCCATCGGAGGTGATGAAACTGGGCTGCTTCCAATGCATTCCAGAATGTAAACCCCTCACCGTGTTTCTTCTTGGTTTGATCCCTGGAGTGCCTGTGCTTTGTCTTCAAGTCACACTTGGGATTTTGCTAGTTTTCCAAGATTATCGCATTTTTTTTGAACAAAGTAAATCAGTTTCCGACAATGCCACTGTCGTGTTAGGGTTTCTCGGCGTGTCGCCTGGCTCTGGCCGGGGTTGTGTGTGACGCTTCCTACCCGTGCTGCCTTGCACATTTATGGAGCAGGGGGTTTGCCGGCAGCGGTCTTGGTTCCTTATAATCCTGTCATCGTCCTCGTCGTCAGCCCCCTCCTTCCCCTGCTCTTCCTCTGTTGTCCCAGCAAGACTTTCAAAGAACCAGCTATTGCTCAAGTGGTCTTTTAGAGAATGTGCACACCTCTCAACCACTCCACAACACCTCAAGATTGCAGTGGTTGTGTTTCGGGTTCACATACATGTATATCGAGACTCAGGGAAGTCCAGGGCCACACAGGAAGTGGCAGAGCCAAGATTTAGACCTGATCTAGCTCCAAATCCCAGCTTCTCTGTTGCTGGCCACGCAGGATGAGCTCTGTTTCCCAGGCAGGCTGAGCAAATGTCCAGGATGGCAGGTTCTTGGCAGGGCCCTGGGGGCTGAGGCCACAGAAGGCCTCCTCACAGGAGTGGGGGTGAAGGGCCCCAGGTCCAGGCTGGATGACCTTCTGCCCTTCCTGATGCGGGTGACCTGGCTCTGCTGGTTTGAAGTAAAAACGCTGTTGGCAGAGAATCGAGACGCGGGGAAGGTTAGTTCAGGGCAGGGATGTTGGTGTCTGCGGGTGATGACTGCAGCCTCCCTGTGTGTTGTGTTTCCCGGTTGGCACACCTCTGTTTATTGTCTGCGCCAGCCTCATACCCCCTTTCCCTCAGCGTATTTCCTTCATAACAGGATGGCAGACTCAGCGGCTGCTATGGGGCTGTTCCAACTACTGAAAACACTGAGATAAGGCCCACGGTGGCAGAAATCCCTGAGGCTGCCAAGGGTGCCCACATCCCAGATGCCGGGGCTCTGAGAGTCGCCTCCTCTGTTCTTAGTTGCCTCGGATGTGAACAGGCGGCCATCAGGGGGTGTCATCCTGAGCCCTGAGGTGGGGCCTGGGGTCTGCACTCGAATTCACGGTGCCCTGATGCTAAGTTTTAATTCTTAAAAAGCTTTTCTAGCTCAAGATACTCCTCAATATATTAATTATTGGCTGAAAAAAGCCTAAATTTTTAATCTTGCAAATGCTAGAATTTCTGAGCTCCCTATGTTTTCTCTCAATTCTGCTGCAAGCTTGGCTTTCCTTTCTGAGCTTATCTTTTTCTTGAGGTACTTTATCAAATGCAGTAGCAATGATTATTCACTCTAGAGACATTTTGCTTGGAAAGCTTTTCACCCAATGCCAGGATTACATTGGGTATGTTTCCTGCTTTCTAAGTTATTACAGGAGCCCATGTTAGTGATTTTTTTTTTACCATTACATGTCACAAGTTGCCATTCCCCGACTTTCTAAAGTAGTTTATTCACCACCCAGTCTATCAGCCAGTGCCACATATTAATACTTTAGGTTTTATTATGGCAGCACCTACTTTTGACACCAAATTCTCTATTGGTCAGCTATTGCTATAATAATGCTGTGTAACAAATGGCCCCACCAATCCCAGTGGTTTAGAAGAAGCTGTTTGTCTCTCATGCCTATGTCGGTGTAGTGGCCGCAGCATCTACTTCAGGCTGCAGGTGCCTCTCAGGTGTGTGGCTTGGCTCTCATTTTGAGACCTGATGGAAGAGGCAGAAGGTCCCCCCGGGGCACTTCCCAGGCCAGGCGTGCAGGAGGGCAAGTGGAAGCACATACTTACCTGTACTCAGAACTGCCCCCACTGTCCCCTTCCACACTTCAGTGGTCACAGCAAGTCCCATTTCCAATCCATGGTGCTGGGACTGGGAGGGAAGGAAGGACTGTGAGTGTACAATGCCACCTGCCACAGGAATGGCTCAAGGATGGAGGCAAAGTTAACACCAGGAGTTGCCCTGTCCCTCTGCTCCTGAAGCCCTTGGCTTTGCAGAGATGATGTGGTGCAGTGGAAAGGACACAGTGCATGGCGGGCCAGCTCGGCTGCCCTGACACACTGTGGCCAGCTGGCCTCTCCTCGGTGTCCCTGGAGCTGCAGCTTTGATGCCAGGGTAGAAGATGAGTGGGAGGCGGAGGGGCATTTCCAGCCAACTCTATACACTGAGAAGCACTAAAGATTAACAGGTGACTGTCTGGGAAGAGCCAGCTTTGTAAGAGACACTGAGAGGCACCACTTCCCGGGCCTTCATCTTCCCTCTGGATGGGTGGAGGAACAGGGACACCAAACCTGACATTGCTCCCATACTGAGTGCCAGCCATGGCCCCACCTTGCACAGCCCATGCCTCAAGGGGGCCATGGCTAGCACTATCTGACAAGAGGATGCTGGGCAGGTGGGTGGGAGCAGAGGACCAGGTGAAGGCTGGGGCCTGTGTACCCCAGTTGAAGGGAGCTAGATTTAACTCCCTGAGACCCAAGAAGCATCCTTCTGGCCACCCCAGTCTAATTAGCTAGGAATTTGGTGGTGGCACAGGTGAGAAGGTCCCTGCTCTGTGGAGCTTGCAGGTTCTGGAAACAACCCCACCACATCTGTTGCAACACCTGCAGCCGTCTTCTTGCATCTTTGCTTTGTGCTGGACGCTTCCATATGGAACACCTAACACAACATCTGTAGTGGGCTGAGGGTAACCCTCAAAGATATATGTCCACATCCTAATTCCCAGAACCTGGGACTGTGACCTTATTTGGAAAAGGGGTCTTTGCAGATTTAATTAAGTGAAGGGTATTGAGTTGGGGAGACCATTCTTGTCTATCTGGGTGGGCTCTAGTCCACTGATAAGTATTCTTAGAAGACAGAAGAGGAGGAGGCCATGTGTCCACAGAGGCAGAGGCTAGAGTGCTGTGGGACCACGCCCCCTCTGGCAGCTCGTGAGGGGCCACGCCCCCTCTGGCAGCTCGTGAGGGACCCACAACAGGGAGGACTGGGGCCTTGCTGGGCTGGAGAGCCCAGAGGAACAAGCAGGGGGCTAGGGCCCCTGAGATGCTGTATGACTGGTCCATTGTTCCTGTTCCTTTCCCATAGAAGAAAAAGGAGAGTAGTTTGGGGACAGATTCATGCACATATGCACACATACATACTGCACACACATACATACTATATACAATACAGTGGGTATACATATAGACACACTACAGCACATGCACACACACACACATTCTGCACACAATACTGCATGCATGCACATACGGCACAGCACATACATGCACACATGCTGCAGCACACACAATACTGCACACAGAGCATACAATCCTGCAAGTACACCATACACGGGTGAAGAGAAGGGGCATCTGTCAGTGGCCTACTCTTCCAGACCCTCATTTTGTCCTCACAGCAGCTCTCTGGGGTGGGCCTCCCCAACTCCCTTTAATGGATGAAGATGCTGAGACTTAAGGGTTACAAAGTCTGCTTGAAGTCACAAGGTGCTGCGACTTGAGCTCAGGGCCAGGTGAATCCCTGATGTTCCTGGCAATCTGCTCCTGAAGGGTGCAGCAGGGCCTCTCTGGTCTGGTTCTCCCTCTTCCTGTAACCTTTGAGGTAGTGCCTGCAGGAACCCTGGGACCCCCCCACCCCCCACCCCAATTTGCCTGCTCCTGTTCCCTGGGCTCAGCAGAGTCACCATCCCAGCCCCAGGACAAGTGTCCTCCTTGGTGGGGGACATGTGGTCATTGCTGGGGCGATACAGTGAGATGTGGCCACACAGCCATGTCCAGACCTTGGGCACCATGCTGCTCATGCTCCAGACTGCTGGGGAGCACCTGGTCCTGGTTGTGTCTGGCTTTGGGTCCTTCAATTTCTGCTGTCTGCTTTCCTGTCATTGCTCCCACTTCTCAACCCTGCCTTGGTAGCTTCTCTGATATGATCAGGCAAGATCTTAGAGCACAGTTGCATGTTTATATTATAGCTTCTCTATCACTCCTGTGGGTGTGCACATGTTGTATGGTGTGTGTGTGGATGTGTTTCTCTATGAGTACAGAGCACATATGTTTGCATGCATTCTGTGTGTGCACAAGGCATGTTTAACATATCTGGTGTATACACAGGGTATCCATAAGGTTTATGTGGTATGTGTGCATACTGTGTATGGTGTACTTGCAGGATTGTATGCTCTGTGTGCAGTATTGTGTGTGCTGCAGCATGTGTGCATGTATGTGCTGTGCCGTATGTGCATGCATGCAGTATTGTGTGCAGAATGTGTGTGTGTGTGCATGTGCTGTAGTGTGTCTATATGTATACCCACTGTATTGTATATAGTATGTATGTGTGTGCAGTATGTATGTGTGCATATGTGCCATGAATCTGTGCTCTGAAAAGAAAGCCAACACAGTGGCTGGACAACATTCTACCAGTCCCTTGAGACTATCAAAAGTCAGTGTGTTCAGTCACACAGAGGAGCCTTTGAAGACTTCAGATGAATGACTCAGGAGCCCCTCAGTCATCTCAGCAGAAGACAGAGATAGGACTATGTGAAAGGCCTAGGGAGGACCTTCTTGTGAAATAGAGTGAATCCTGTGTGTGACATACACAGGAGACCACAAAGTTCTTGAGAATGTTATATCAGCAGAAACACTGCCAACTTGGACTGAAGGGAACAGAGAAAGTATGAAATGAAAGATGAAAGAGCACTGTTGGACTCTCCAAAATTCTGCAGGAAGGAAGCAGGCTGATAAAACCACTCAGTGGCAAACATGTGCTACCTTTCATGAAAAAGGAAGGATGACTCCAAGGGTGGAGCCATGAGCCCAGATGTTGGACCTGGGACCCACAGAGGATTATTTTCTCAGGCCTTGAAATCTAATGTTTGCTTAGCTGGTTTTTCAAAGTGCTTGGGACTGAGGACTCCTTTTTTCCTTCCATTTTCTCCCTTTTTGAATGAGAATGTCTATAACTGTCAACTGATGCCTGTCCTAATGTTGGGTCTGACAGCAGATCATTTGTTTCTTGAGTTTTGCAGGTTTACAGGTGGAGCAGAATTATGCATCTGGATGGATTATACCCTAACCCAACCCTAATTTACATTATGAAATTTGGGACACTTGAACTAAGTAAATTTAGATGAGATTTCTGGACTTTGACTTAATGCTGTAATGAGGTAGATGTTCACAGATGCTGGGGTGGAGTGGCATCCTTGTGAGTCTTTGGAAGCCAGGGGCCAACTGTAGTCAGCAGGATAATGGCCCCCAAAGATGTCCACATCTCACTCCCCACTACCTTATATGTCAAGAGGGAGTTTGCAGGTGTGATTAAATTAAGGGTCTTGAGGTGGGGGATTATCCTGGATTAACCAGGTGGCCAGTGCAATCATGAAAGTCCTCACAAGAAGGAAGCAACACTGTTAGCATCAGAGAAGATGTAACTACGGAAGCAAAAGTCAGAGTGATGAGTTTGCTTTAGAGGTGGAGGGAGGAACCCAGAGGCATGGAAGATAGGTAACCTCTAGAAGCTGGAAGAGGCACGGAAGTGAATTCTCCCCAGAGCCTCCAGAAAGAAGAGACTCTTGCTGACGCCTTGGTTTAGTCCAGTGAAACCCATGTGGGACTTCTGATTTCCAAAACCATAAGATGATAAGTGTGTGTTGCTTTAAGCCACTAAGTCTGTGGTCATCGGCCGTAGCAGCAATAGGAAGCAAATACAGGCATGAACATCAAAAGAGCAGGAGACGGGCATTCCGGAAGTCGCAGGAAGAACACGCTTTCTACTGCTCCTGTTGGGTGTTGTCGATCAGCCAAGATGAGGGCTGAGAACTGATGCCAGGGTTAGCCTTTGCCGGTAACATCGGCAAAAGCACGTTTAGTGGAATAGGGGAGGTAAAATCTAGCTTAGCGAGGACTCAGGAAAGACCAGGAAGAGAGGAAGTGGAGAAGGAAGACTGTGTTCTTAGAGGGGCATCTTGAAAAAGAGCAGAGAGACAGCCAGCAGCTGGGGGGCCCTGGCCGGCAGGAGAGGGGACAGCATGACTGTTGTTGAGGGTGGCCCCACTGAGGGGGCAACCAGAGCTCCTGGCCAGCCTGGAGTGGGGGACGGCGGTGGGTCTGGCTGGCCAGGCACAGTTGGGTGGGAAGATGGTGTGGTCGGAGCACGTGGACATTCTTTTCTGATTGCTTCTATTTTCTCAGTGAGATGGGAAACAATCATCTCCTTTTTGCTAAATGTGCTGAGCAGGCTTGAGGGATGCCTGGACTTCAGCAGGAAGCAATAGTCATGCCTCGCACATGCGGCTTTCAATCCTGTTTGGTTGGAGAAATAATATACCGCCCAACTAGTTTGTTTTAAATTAGACAAACACCCCGGAGCCTGCCTGCTGCTGGAGACGGCTGTGTTTGGAGTGGGGCTCTCGGCGGTGCTGAGGTCAGCTCTGTTTGACATTCCTGATGTGTGAAGGGCGCACTTAGGACAACACCACCAGGCCACGGGCGTGCAGCTCCCTGGAGCTGCTCCAGGGGCCCTGCCTGAGAAATGTTCCAGTCCTTGAAATTTCTCCCCAGTTTTAAACATCTGTTGGTGCTTGTGGAAAATAAGGTCGGGATTGCTGTGCTCACCGCCCGTGAAAGCTGCCATTGCACGGTCTGTAAAGTGCTGGTGATGAACACTTCACACCGACAGGCTGAGCCTCGGCCCTGGCCACGTCGCTGGGGCCCAGCTTCTGATCAGTCTGTATGGTTCAGCTCTCCGTGGAGTTAAGTCATGACAACCAAGGAACACAGGCATTTGAGGGGATAGCTCTGTTCCCTCCGCCATGTCCTGGGGCGAGCTGTGTAGACGTCTGTTATCTTGATAAACCCAAACCTCTTGGGGCCAGGTGCCCTGTGCCTTCCTTTGTCCTTCTGTCCACCTGGCCTTCCATGAGCCTCTGGGGTGGGGCTGTCTCCTTTCTCTCCTGACTTCCCAAAGCACAACTGAAAGCAAACTCTTCCACCCACCATGAGTCTCATTCCATCTCTCCAGTGGGCGAGACACGTAGTGTTTTGTTTTATTTCATTTGCTTTGTTTTTTCAATCAAGCTGAGGCCAGCTTGGAGGCCTGTTTCCCTTGGGATGGTGGACACATGGATCTCAGGAGTTTGGGGGTGCCCCTTCTGGTCGCAAGGGACCTTCTGGACCCTGTGCCTCCCTCCCACCAGCCTCCCCTGACACCGCCTCCGTGCTGCTCCTCTCCCGGTGGGCTCCACCCTCACTAGGGCTTCGAACCTGGAATGCTCTTTCCTGGCCTCCTGCCTGTCCCCTTCCCACCAAGCCCCCCAGTTCCTGCTGAGTGCCACTTCCTGGCTCAGCTGCTCCCATCCAGTGCTGGGCTCAGCCTCGTCACCCACGCCCCACCATAAAGGGTTCTTTACAGCAGATGGCATCGCCGTCGGCCCCCCAACCGGAGGCGCCCTTCAGGGCAGGAGCCTGTTTCTTGTGGAAGTGTCTTAAGCCCTAAAACGGTGCCCAGTGCACAGTTAAATAAAAATCAGAGCCCCAAGAGCAAACCTTAGCCCCTCACGGTGACTACAGCCCTTCCAAAGAGGGGCCATATCACGTGCACAGTGACCCTCTCCACGTGGGTCCCTTGGTTTGTGAGGGCCTTGGTTTGCAGGCCATAGACTGACACAGTGGCACCTGGTGTGAGGGGAAGAGGGTGTGGAGGCCACAGACCCACACGGTGGTACCTGGTGTGAGGGAAAGAGGGTGTGGGGGCCACAGACCCACACGGTGGTACCTGGTGTGAGGGGAAGAGGGTGTGGAGGCCACAGACCCACACGGTGGCACCTGGTGTGAGGGGAAGAGGGTGTGGAGGCCACAGACCCACACGGTGGCATCTGGTGTGAGGGAAGAGGGTGTGGAGGCCACAGACCCACACGGTGGCACCTGGTGTGAGGACCTTCTGAAGGTACCCGTGGGTGAGGGGATCATTTGGATGGATTGCAAAATGGCCATGTGGCTTTAGTGACACCTTTAGGATGTAATAAACTTCAGAGTCAACCTTAATTCTGGGAGAGAGACATCTTCACTTTTCTGGTGCCATAACTGCCTCTTTGTGGAACGCAAAGCAAAACTAAAGTCATTTTTCTTGTTTGTTTTTAAGGCCCTTCAGGCTCTAGGGTGAGTTTCTGGTTTGAGGGGAAGGCCTTTCCTCCTGACTCCAGCCCTCCTTGACAAGGTCTCCGTAAAGCATGCTTTCTCTTAGGGACCCTCAGAGGGAGGCTTGGTGGGGACATGGGGTCAGGGACATCATCAAATGCTAGACGCCCGGCTGGGGCTGCCCCGAGGGCTCTGAGAGGAGGGGGCAATCCTGCGTGGCCAGGTGGGTGGTGAGTGTGACCTGGGTGGTTGGCAGTGGCTTCCGTCCAAGGTCCTGGCCAGGAGCGGAATCCCACAGCCACGGCAGGCCATTAGTGGCTGAGTGAAGTTTGTTCAGGGTGGCCTGACCAAAGGCAGGCCCTGAGGACAGCTGTTGCTGGCTCTTGGTGGAAAGAGGCTGAGGCCAAAGGGTTTATAGGTGTTCAAATTGGAAAGTGGAACAGGAGACCTAAGTACGCTCCCTCTGACCAGGTTAGGGGGTACTGATGGGGAGTCCCTCAGTAGAGGCAGGGGCCACCTCTTCTGACCCCAAGGGACCCAGGCCAAGAAGGAGCCCCCTCTCCCCCAGGGCCAGGGGGACCCCAGCCTGCCCCACACTGGCACTTTGCAGCACCAGGGAGAGACCAGGCCTCCTCTGGGACAGGTTCCAGGCTTACGGGAGCTTTGGTCAGAGGGGCAGCCACCCCTGCCCACTCTAAGAACGTGACCCCAGAAAGGGGCATCATTTCTTCAACAGAAGAGGAGGCGAGATGAGCTTGGTGCCAGTTCCACGGAGCCACAGTGACATAACCCTCCGAACATTCGTGACCAACCACGGAGCACAGTGACATAAACCTCCAAACATTCATGACCAACCTCGATTATACAGTCACACCCAGCCCCGAGTGGATTTACCAGAGACAGGATGTTCCCCACCAGGCTCTCCCACTAGGCAGATCCTCAGCACTTGGCTCAAGAGTGGAACAGACCCCACTAGCCATTGCAGGCCGTTGGGCAGGCAGCCCTCCGACCTCAGCCCATGTGCATATGGGGTGGGGGACCCGTGGGCAAAACTTGGGGTCCTAACCTGGGGGGGTCAAACCCTCCACACGCAAGTCCTGGTCAGAATCACTCAGAACTGACCCTCCCCTGTGCCAGCCCCTCCCCTGTACCAGCTCCTCCCCTGTGCCAGCCCCTCCCCTGTACCAAGCCCCTCCCCTGTACCAGCTCCTCCCCTGTACCAGCCCCTCCCCTGTGCCAGCTCCTCCCCTGTGCCGGCCCCTCCCCTGTACCAGCTCCTCCCCTGTACCAGCCCCTCCCCTGTACCAGCCCCTCCCCTGTACCAAGCCCCTCCCCTGTACCAGCTCCTCCCCTGTACCAGCTCCTCCCCTGTACCAGCCCCTCCCCTGTACCAGCCCCTCCCCTGTACCACCTCCTCCCCTGTGCAAAGCCCCTCCCCTGTACCAGCTCCTCCCCTGTACCAGCTCCTCCCCTGTACCAGCTCCTCCCCTGTACCAGCCCCTCCCCTGTACCAGCCCCTCCCCTGTACCAGCTCCTCCCCTGTGCAAAGCCCCTCCCCGTACCAGCCCCTCCCCTGTACCAAGCCCCTCCCCAGTACCAGCTCCTCCCCTGTACCAGCCCCTCCCCTGTACCAGCTCCTCCCCTGTGCAAAGCCCCTCCCCTGTCCCAGCTCCTCCCCTGTACCAGCTCCTCCCCTGTGCAAAGCCCCTCCCCTGTCCCAGCTCCTCCCCTGTACCAGCTCCTCCCCTGTGCCAGCCCCTCCCCTGTACCAGCCCCTCCCCTGTGCAAAGCCCCTCCCCTGTCCCAGCTCCTCCCCTGTACCAGCTCCTCCCCTGTACCAGCTCCTCCCCTGTGCCAGCCCCTCCCCTGTACCAGCTCCTCCCCTGTACAAAGCCCCTCCCCTGTCCCAGCTCCTCCCCTGTACCAGCCCCCAGACCCTGAACAGCACTGGCCACTACACGGAGCCACCACCCTGGCCCTGGCCTGGGTGGGTGGGGGTCCCCCGGGGAGCACAGCGCAGTGCTAGGGCCCCTGTAGCAGATTCCCAGGAGACACACACCCAGCTGGGCCTGCTGACACTAGCCCTGCATTCCCACACCCCCTCCCCTGGCCCTCTCAGCTGCCTTGTCCTCTCCTGGTCAGCTGCCTGGGGACACTGTCACGATGCCTGGCCCCTGACCTTGCCCGAAGCTCCTCGGTGTCTGGACATTCAGCCCGACATGCTCTGAGGTTTGGGGCAGGTCCAGCACTCTGTGGGTCCACCCCATCAGCCCTCAGGGTGGGACTCATGCAGCCACAGTTTGAGAGTTCCAGGAACCACAAGTCCTGAGTCAGCGGGCACCTGACCCCTTATGTCACCTGCCCCAGGTGGAAGGAGACGCTACAGGGACCAAGCATGGTTGGTAAACGTGTGTGTGTATGTGCACTCACGCCTGTGTGTTAAAATGCTTCAGAGAAAGAGCAGCCCAGGAACGTGGGGGTTGGATGGGATGTGGAGGTGTGGGCTGTGCCTAGGGGTCCCTCCTGGGGCTGTGTGGGTGTGAGTGGAGGACTGAGGAAAAGCCTCCTTACCCGGGAGTGTGTGGGGGTGCTGTTTCTCGTATACTTTATTTCCTGTTTTAACACATGTGGGTGTCCTGAAATAAAAGCCGTTAGCCGCCCACAAGAATGAGCAGGTTTGCTGGATCACAGTCCCCCACCCGGTGCCAGGCTGCCTGCCTGGGAGACTCAGGGTCCTCCCCAATCCTGCCTCCCCACCTCCACACAAGGGTGAATCTGAAGCCCCAGGCACCCACGCCAGGGGAACTGAGGTAGAGCAGACCTCCAGCATCCCCCCGTGACCTGGCAGATGGCAGTGGACATTGCCCTCCCCAGACACCCCTGTGAGTTGTCAGCTCTGCCTGCTGGGGTGGAGCCCCTGACTTGGGTGAGCCAAGGGTGGGGGGAGGGTGGTGAACCAGCCGGCCCCCCAGGTTTCCTGAACCCTTTCTCAGTCTCCTGGAAGGGGCTGAGGGGCCTGGCACCTTCCCACCAGAGCAGTGGTCCCCAACCCTTTTGACACCAGGGACAGGTTTTGTGGAAGACACTTATTCTGTGGGTGTTGGAGAGAAGAAGGGATGGTTTCCCTCTCAGATCATCAGGCATTAGATTCTCATAAGGAGCGGACAACCTAGATCCCTTGCGTGCAGTTCACAATAGGGGTCACGCTCCTGTGAGAAGTGAATGCCGCCGCTGATCCGAGAGGAGGCGGAGCTCAGGGTCAGGCCGGTCCACCGCTCACCTCCTGCCGCGCGGCCGGTTCCTAACAGACCACAGCCTGGGGACCCCTGCTCCAGAGGACGGGGAGTGTCTCTCTGTCATCCCCAACGGGCCAGTGATCCCGCTGGAGGGGCTGGGGCTGCACAGGACACAGGCTCAGCTGTGCTGCTGGCCACCCATGACCCAATCAGAGGCTCAGGTCAGAGGGCAAAGATGTCCACTGAAGCGGCTCCAGAATCCCTCAAGGAAGGTGACATCCGCTTCGCTTCCTCCTCCAGCCCCACCTTCGCTTCCGGGACCACAGAGCCCCTGGAGCCTGCACGCCACGGAGTCTCCCACTGAGGAGTGAGGAGGCCTCTTGTGGGGACAGATCTGGGTGAGTCAGGAGGCCCTGCGGGGCTGGGCTGGGCTGGGCTTAGGGGCTGGAGCGGGGAGGGTTTCTCAGACTGGAGTGGGAGACTTGAGGTGGAGATGTGGGTTAGGTCAGGGTCAACCCTGAAAGATTGAGAATCACACGGGGCTGCTCACCTTGGGCGTGAGGAGCAAGGTCTCTGGGACTGACTAGGTGAAGACCGGTTTCCTGGGACGGGCACGACAGGGACTTGAGACCCGTCTTAGGCTGTGTCAGGGCAGCTGAGAAACTTGCTGGCTTGTGGGTCATGGAGCCCCAGGAGCCGGTCGAGGTGCAGGAGGGGGCCTGGGTGGGGCTGAGTCAAGGGCTCCGGCCAAGCCCCTGTGGCCCAGGCGGTATTTGTTTATGCCTCATGGCCGGGAGGAGCCACTGCCTTCACCACATCCCACCGGGGTGGGGCGGGTACCACCCTCTGGGACAGGGAAACTTCAAGTGGGAATTTGGGCAAATTTGAACTCAGCTGGATTTTCAGTTTGTTGTTCTTTGAAGGAATTCAGGACTGTGTGCCAGCGCTGGCCACACCACCAGGAGGCCTGGCCTGGCCCGAGAGGGATGCCAGCTTGGCATCTCCCACAGGGCAGGGCGTGTTGGGAGCCGCTGTTGGCTGGGGGCTGGCCTGAGCCTGACTGCCTATGTGGAGCTGGCAAGGAGTGAAGACCCTGCTGCCAGCACAGGGCCGAGGCTCTCCGGCTAAGGACAGGCTTAGGACAGGCCTAGGCTCTGGGGTCCTCAGCCCCCTCCCAGCAGGGCCCGGCCCATGCTGCCAGACCTGGGATGTGCCCCTGGACCTCCCTACCTCGGGCCTCTGCCCACCCCAGCCTCCTCCCCCAGACCCCTCGGTCTCTGCCCCTGGAGGAAGCCGGGAGTGTTTCTTTTGGAAATGACCCCAGTTTGTGGTTGTTCTTTGTAGACACACCCCCTGCTGGGGATGAGAAGTCCCCCTGGACCTTGGTTTGGGCGGGAAACCGGCTGTGTCCCACGTTAACCTAAATCGTCTTTTCCTCTTTACGTTCCAGAGTCATGCTTGAGGCCAGGCTCGAATCCTGCCTGCCTTTGGTGGCTCTGAGATTCAGGGCTGTCTTTTCTGAGAGCACCCAAGTGAGGTGCCTTGGGATGCCCCTGACTTGGAGACACAGAGGAGGCTGGGCACCCCTTTTCCCCGACGCACTGAGCCAGGTCAGCAGAGGTGCTGGGGCCTGGCATGGCCCCTGGGAAAGAACCTGCTTTCCTCTTGTGGGAAGTCAAATCCTCGCACTCAGTGCCGGCACCCCTTGGCGGGTGACAAGAGGGCATCTCGAAGGCCACTGTGCTATGGGAGTTACGGCTTTGACTCTGAGACGGGGGCCTGGGTGAGGACCTGGTATCCTCAAAGTCCCCGTGGCTGCCCTGTGGAGAAGACTCTGTTGGGAGAGGGCGCTGCCTCCCAGAAGTGTCCCAAGGTCCAGGAAGGAATGGGGGGAAGAGGACAGGAGGGTGTTCTCACAGTCACTGTGACCTCTGGTGAGCAGAGGGTCCTTCTCAAGCTACTGAATCCTCATGGGGCTTGGGTGAGGGAGCGAGGATAGGCCAGGAGCCAGAGGCTCAGGAGGGGATGGCCTCACTGTGGAAGGTGCAGGGGTGGTCCAGCCTGAGCCCTCTGCCCCCCGCTGCAGCTCAGCACCCCCCCCCCCCCACGCACACTTACCCAGGGGGTTGCAAAGTGATGGGTGTTGGCTCTGGAACTAGTCCCATGTTGTTTCCCAGGGAAGGAGCCACACCCTTCTCAGACCTCTGGGCTGATGCACGAAACGGCAGCCCTGCCTGGGCTGCCCACCGCCCGTCACAGAACGATCCCGCTGCAAATTTCACAGGCATCTGGATCGAATAACAGGCTGATAGGGCGTATAAAATTAGAGACAGAACTCTCCAGAAGGCAGGGTGGAGGCTGCAGCTCCCTGGGATTCCACGTGAGAAGGCAGTGATGCTGCTGCCCCCACGGGAAGGACGGATGCTGAGTCAGTGGGAAGACAGTGGGAAGCCCAGCCTGGAGGGGAACGGGGGACGGGGTGGGGGGTGGTCCAGAAAAAGCAGCAGGCGGTTGGGGTGGGACACAGGGACTGTCCCGCCCGGGGAGGCCCCCAGACCAGGAGGGCCAGACCCTACCGCCCCTCTGCAGGACCCCATCCCTGCTTCACTCCCTTGCTCCTAGTTCTGAGTTGGGCCCAGCCTGAGTCTCCACCAGGTGGACAGTAGCTCCTCGGGGCAGCTGGGTGTGGGATCTGCAGGCTCAGGCAGCCACCCAGATACTAGCGGCCTCCCTGCCCTCCAAAAGCCCAGCCTGGGATGAACCTTGACAAAGGCCCTAGACCACAGCAACCACCCCACCAGGGCTCTGAGTTCTCCATGAGGACTGGTTTCCCTGGAAGGTGAACACTCAGGGGCTGGGACCCTTAAGGATTGTTCTTCTCAGGTCTTCACCGTTTCCAGACGTGTGCCTTAGACATCTGCACGGACATCTCTTCCCAGGGATGGGCGTCTCAGGGCAGGTGCATTTAAACTTGTGATAGAGACTCCAAATCACCTCTCAAAAGCCTGTTCCCATTCACACCCCTGCATACGGCATGTCAGTGGATCCCTTCCTCACTGGAGCAACACTAGATTTAGTCATAAAATATTTTTCAATTTCTTATTTCTATGATTAATAGGGAGGTTGGATATTTTGTGATATTCATTAGTTTATTTGACTATGTTTCTGTTTTTACCCTTTACCACTTTTCTAGCTAGTCATTTGCTTTTTTCTTGTTGATTTGTGGGAGTTCTTTATATATGATGAATATCAGTACTTTGTGTTTACATTGCAGATATTCGTTCCCAGTCTGCTGCTTATTATTTTACCTTTTTAAGGTTGTTCTTTTCATCACATAAAAGTTTTTAAATTTTAAGTAGTCAAATGGTTTCCTTTAAGGCTTTGGATTTTGCATTTTTATACCAAAATGCTCTTGTATTTTCTTCCAAACTTTATAATTATTCTTTTTTTTTTTTTTTTTTTTTGCCTTTAAGTTCATTTTGGGGCATGGGGTGAGACAGAATAGCACCATTTTTCCACATTAAATCTTAGATATTGTGAGCCCTGGAGGACACAAATTACAGCTTAGAGGCCTGGAGCATGATTCTGGAGCCAGGCTTCCTGGGCCGGAGTCCACGTCCTGCCCATGGTGGCTGGCCATTGCTTTGGGGAGCCTCTCTGAGCCTCAGTGTCCTCTTTGAAAGAGTGGTTGTTCAGAGTAAGAGGGTATCTTCCTGTGGACGACTCAGCTTGCGTCTCAGCCCACAGTGAGCGAAGAACCAGGGGGTCTCACAGAGCCCTGACTCAGGTGCTGAGGGTCCCCCTAACCTCCAGGCAATTCGGCCTGCACCCCCACCCCCGCTTCTTCTTGCCTCTTCTAGAAGAGAGGAGGGTGGCGGTAAGGCTGGAAGGGGGAAGAAAATCTGTTTCCCAAAGCCTCCAGGTGATTCAGCCAGAGTGAGACCAAATGGCTTGGGTCTTGGGTTTTCAGCTTCCTCACCTGTGCGGTGCAGGTGACAGCACCCCACTTCCTACTCTGTGGGCAGGTAACACCTGCGTGCTCTGAGAAGGGGAAAACATCTCCACCCTCCCCAGAGGCCTGCACGGCCGGAGGTCACAGTGAGGCGGCCACACGCCCCGGGCTCTTGCTCCGAGGGGACGCTGTCCCAACAAGAGGCCCCCTCACAGTCTGTCCTGACCCTGGCTCTGTGGCCCCTCCTTCTCCTTGATCAGGCCCCTCCCGGGTCTACCGGGATCTCTGGCTGCCCCCCGACCCCCTGCTGCAGCCCCAACCCTAGGTCTCCACAAAGACTTCGGGATGCCCCGTGAGCCCCTGGGTCCTGGACCCCTCTTCCTCCTCCAGCCCCTCCTCTCCCAGCTGCTCCTGGCTGCCCTTTAATTGCTCAGAGCTGTTCAGCAACCTGGCGCGTAGCTGGTACATAAGTGGCTGTTGGTTGGAGTCAAGTGAGTGATGGGGAGATGCTAAGAAGAGTGAAAGAAGCCTCGGCACCCGCCGGGAGCAGGTGCTGGGGGTGTGAGTGCCGCTGAATGAACGCGTCCTGGGACGGGATCCTGAAGCCCACCCTCCCGCCGGGCCCCCACAACCCAGAGCGCACACCAAACTTTCTACGTGTCTTTCCCGGTCAGCCTGAGCCCAAACCACCCATGTCCCTGAGCTTGTCCTTGTCTGAAAGAGGAGGGAAGTGTCTGTGTCCTCAGGAGCCCCTGGCCTTAAAGATAGGCACCCTGGCTCTGGCAGGCAGGTGGCCCCTGGCAGCCTCGCCCACGCCCGCGGTGACTAGCTCTCGGGCAAGCGATGCAAGTGCAGAAACCAGCTCTGTGTGGTCAGTGCCCCGGAGCTGCAGCGGCAGCAGAGGTCGGAACACCTTCCTCTGTGGGCACGCCACGGAAATTTAAAGACACAGGGTGCTCTTTCGCAAACTGGGCTCGTTGATTCTACAGGAGAAGGTAACTATTATTGAGTTTCTTCTTTTTCAGAATGAGTGGCATCCAAACCTGACTCATATTTCCAACTTTATTAATTTTTGCAAGACTTCGGAGGGTGCTCTGTGGCGATTAATATTGCTGAGCTGAGCACAGCTGCAGTACTTTCCTGTAAAACTGACTAAAGGAGAAGTTGGTGTCTTCCTCATACAAGAAATACATAAATCAGTTAAAAATAGTTCTCCGAGCGGATATGATGATGTCGTGGCCGTCACAGGAAACACATGAATCAGCCTCATCCTCAGTTCCAGGGAAGTGGGGACAGTCGGTGGTCCTTGGACCCCTCTTGGGGCGCGTGGGTGAGGCAGGGTCCCTCTGGCTTTACCTCATACCCGGACTGGCAAAGCTGCCTGGGAGGACAACTAAAACCATGCTCCTTTGATTCTGTGGACATTGCTAATTGCTGGGCGTTCATTTCTTGAATTCAGACCTTCTCATGAACCAGAGGAGCTGGCTCAGAAAAATGCCGGTGACGCATGGGCCTGAACTGGTCAGTGCAGCTCAGAGATGCTCGCCGTGGGGGACGTGCAGTTTGCCTGTGGGCCAGTTGTCCACCCGTCACCGTTACCCCGCTGAGGAAGCTGTGGGTGCCACCCAGAGAGCTTGGGTACAACACGGTCTCTGCTTTACTCATAAAAAGCCAAGACCTATGTGGTCATGGAGCGTTAAAACAGAAATTTCACACCACGCCGTACGGTCCCCGAGGCCAGGGTGTTGGCACATTTCACATCCAGGAGGTGCCGTCGCTGTCACTGGCTCAGCAAAGCCAGTGCCGAAGCCACTGCAACTGCCTGAGGCCCAGCGGTGGCTGGGAGCCAATTGGTGTCACTCGGTTACCACAGGGAAGGAGACGTGGCTGTAGAGGCTTGTCGCAGGTCACAGAGAAGGGACTTTTGGGCTCCAGGCCTAGTGGGTTCGAGTCAGCACGGTGTCTTCCCCGACACCAAACCCAAGGACCCTCAGCACTTCCTGACCTCAGGTTTCTATTTCTAGGGTGGGGAGTAGAGGTGAAGGGAAGCAAAGTCAGAGTTGAATATAAAGCTCCAGAAAAACTCAGCTCAGAATTGACTAGAGGGTTGAGAGCCTGAGATCCCTAAGGGGACATGTCAACCCAGGGCAGCCGCTGAGGGAGACTGACATGGTTTCCATGGTCCTTCCACTGGGCTGGGGCCCTCCCTGGGGAGTCTGTGCTGGGCTGGACCTTCTTCCCTGCCAGTGGCCTCTCCTGGCTGGTTGGGGAGCTCCGGGGGAGCAGACGGCAAGAGTCTTGTTTGGAAACATGCCCTTCCCAGGAAATCCCCAAAACAAAACCTGAGAAGATCTCCTGGAAGCTCAAAAGCAATTTTCTTTTCATATGTCGGGCCAATAAGAGTTAATTTCACCCAGTTTCTATATTTTCATGGGTCCTTAGAAGCTTTCTGACCCTGTGCCCTGAGACTTAGGGTCTGATGGCTGAAGGAACCTTGGTCCCAGGTCCCTCTCCTGTGGAGGGGCCGTCAGAGGGAGAGAAGAGCTCGCCCTGGTTCACTTGGCCTGTCCTGAAAGAGAACCAGGAGGGAGAGCAGCCTAGCATGGGTGCACACAAGCATATGTACAAACATGTGCTAGGGCAACTCACACACGTCCACATGCATGCACATACACACATGCCCACACCCATGCACACTTATGTGTGCACACAGATTCAGACTGTACCTGTACACTTCCACACTTCCACATGCATGCACATACACACATGCCCACACCCATGCACACTTGTGTGTGCACACACAGATTCAGACTGTACCTGTACACTTACTTCCACATGCATGCACATACATGTCCACGCCCATGCACACTTGTATGTGCTTGCACAGATTCACACGTGTACATGCACACACACATTAGCATGTCCTTGCATATGCACACATACACACATCTGACTTCACATTACATACACACATGTACATGCACATACATGACACACATGGCTCGAACTGGAGGGGAGGGTCCCAGTTGCTCCCCTCGCCTGACCATCTAGTAAGTGTTGTGCCCCATGCTGCCCCATCCTGGGCTCCTGGCCAGGCTCTAAGATTAACTAGAGAGGCTCTGTCCCTAAGAAAGGTCATGCACTTCAGGGTAGGTAAGGTGGACAGGCAAGGCCTGGTGACCTCGGCCCATCCTTGTGCCTCCAGAAGCCGTAACTCACCTCAAAGAGGTTTTCCTGCTGGAGGGAACTATCTCTGAGCAACAGGGGCAGACTTCACAGCTCAGGCGCCCTCCTGAAGGTAAGAGGCACTGGGCTCGCCTATCAAAGACACTCTCCTGTCCCCGCAGGTTCCCATATGTCCCATCAGGGAGCTGGGCTCCAAAGTCTCCCGCCCTGCTTCTCCTAGAGAATGCAAAGGCTGCCTCTCTTCCCTCCCAGTGTAACCTGACCCTCCTCTGTGCCCCTTGGCCACCCTTGCATCCTCTAGCTCCTTCTGACACCTTCTTTTTGACTGTTCACAGAGGGCAGGATCTGAAGCCTGCAGAGGTGACCCTTGGTGCCTTGTGCAAGGCTGGCCAGCAAGTAAGCATGACTTTTGGCTCTGCTGCCAGCTGGGCCATTTGATCTACACACACTTTTCTGCCTCTACCTGGAGTTAGGCGAGGCTCTCTATAGAATGGGTACTTGTCAACAAAGTGGGCTTAGACTCCGGGCAGTAGCAGTTGAGGCAGGAGCAGTGGGAGAAGTCTGGGCTAATGGCAAGCACCCAGTCCCCTCTGTGAGCTGCCCACTTGTCCCAGGCTCTGCCATGGCCCTTCCTCTGATTTTTAGGAGCTTTCATGAGGCCTCGCACAGCCTGAAGGAGCAGAGCTTGTTGTGCTAATCCCCAGCATCCTCTGCAGAGTTCTCAACACCTTGTGGCCGAAAGGTCCTTCAGATTGTCCAGGCACCCACCCCGAAAACCAGCCCTGGCATGGGGGTGCTGACCCCTCCCGGAGCAGTGGGGTGCAGGGCTCATAAGGCGGGGTCTGCAAAGCATGCTGGGGTCTTGCTCTGTGCTTACTCCAAGGATGCAGCCCGGAGTGCCACTGCTCTTGGACTTTCCTTGAGACACCCAGAGCATTGTGTGGCCATCACTTCTCACGTGGTCTGGCTGCTTGGGGGGCTGGCCTGAGTCAGCTAGGGCCAGTGCTCACCTTATCCTAATCACCTACTGGGGGATTTTGTAGGCTTGACCCTCCATGCCCTGGTGTTTCCCACAGGCTGTGAGGTTCTAGGGTGTCCCAGGGAGGATAGACGAGGCTGGTGTCCTAGGATCCCTCCCTGTCCGATCCAAGGTGAGGCTGCCAGGGAATGGAATCTGGCTCTCAGGCATGGGGGCCAGGCTCGCCTGCAGCCTCAATGTGGCTGGGCCCTGAAGGCCAGGGGTGGGTGGGGTGCAGCCCAGAGCTTTCTGCGGCTGAATCACCCTCTGGGTACAGGAAGCCTGACCGCATGACTTCCAAACTGATGCAACTCGGACTTTCTACTGAATTTGTGAGCTGTGATACTATTGCTTCTGAAGTCAAAGAGGGCTCAGAGGGTTCACGGAGCATTCCCTTTCAATGACGATCGGCCTCTCTGGAATATCTCCAGTGTCAGCAGGGATGGTGTCAGGGTTCTCCTAGCAAGAAGTCATAAGGAATGGAAGGGCTGAGAAAAATGAGGGTTAGAGTGACACCATGTCAGTCCCCCTGGCTAGCCTCTGCCAGCTGGACAAGCTGGGGCCTCCTCTCCACCTTGACTGGCCTGTGCCGGGGGAGGGAGCCAAGGGCAGGACCCTCTTGCACCTCTACCCTGGGCCTGGTCCATTCTCGCTCCTGGGACCTCCCCAGAGACCTCCGCAGCACACCCCACCAGCACAGTGAGCAGCACGGAGAGACCCAGACCGAAGTGGCCATGTGCTCCATGTGAGGGCTCCGTAGGAAGCAAGGATGTACAAGTGGCTCCTTTTCCCTTCCTAGGGGTCCCTTGCAGGGCTGGGACCCCACTCTAGGCGAGGCCTCTGGGCAAGGATGACCGTCCCTGCCTGCCTCTGGGAAAGAGTAAGTTCCTGCTCCTGGTGTCAGCGCCGACTGGTTCTCCAGGGACCACGGCGGAGGTCTGCCCTCTGTCTTACTTTCTCATAGAGATTTTCCGTGGGACCTGGGCTCCCTGCCTGGTTAGGGCTGGTTGAAGAATAAGTGGGAACGGTGGAGGAAGGAAGGGGATGTGCCAGCTGTTGCTCTGGCCCTTTCGTGTGGATATGAATCCCTGGTGAGAGGCAGATCCTGCGGTCAGTGCGGAGCCCACCACATTCCCCCAGGAGGGTGTGTCCGGGGCTGTGTATGGGGGGAAGCTGGGCAAACAGGGTCATGCCGTGAATGCAGGGGCAGGAGCAGGGACGTTTCTCTCTGCAGACACTGGTGCTCCCCAAAGCAGGAGAAATGGCACACAGCCATGTTGTGGACACATTTGTGAGAAAATTCCTCTGAATGTCAGAGAACATGGAAGAGATGAAGCTACCAGCTTAGAGAGACACAGGAACACATACTACAGACACACAGCACGCACATACCCAGACACACCCAGACACACTCACCAGACACACAGACTCACACAGAGAACACACCACGTCACACACAGAGATTCACAAAGAACCACATCACACACGTTTTCACCCACAGAGAGAACATACCCACATCATACCCATGTGCTGACACACAAGAGCATAAACTCACACACACATACATGAACTCACACCGAGAACACAGGCATCACACACAGGGACTCACGCACAGAGGGCATGTGGACACTACACACATGTTCTCACACAGCACACGCCCCGTCACACCCATGAACTCACACCGAGAACACAACATCACACACAGGGACTCACGCACAGAGGACATGTGGACACTACACACATGTTCTCACACAGCACACGCCCCGTCACACCCATGAACTCACACCGAGAACACAACATCACACACAGGGACTCACGCACAGAGGACATGTGGACACTACACACATGTTCTCACACAGCACGCCCCGTCACACCCATGAACTCACACCCAGAACACAACATCACACACAGGGACTCACGCACAGAGGACATGTGGACACTACACACATGTTCTCACACAGAACACACCCCGTCACACCCACACCCCCACATGCGTAGACACACACATCCTTACTCTGCGCGCATCCCTGGCCTGGTGGACGGAAGATCGAGCGCTCTGGGTGGACTTACGGCCACAGGACGGGGGCAGAGTCGGCAGGGAGGCCCCTCCGAGGCCCAGTGGGCCCTGCGCTGGCCCCGGCCGCAGACGCCCACCTGCTGTGCTGGCTGCGGCGTGTGCCCCGGGGTCTGTGGCTGACCTGGCCTCCACGTCTCACCCATGAAGCAGGCATGAGAGGCTGGCCAGGTTGGCTAAATGGGACCACAGCAGAAGCACAAGCCCCAGAATGTGCACGAAGGAAGAGAGAGCCGGGGGAGGTGGCGGGCTGGGTGTGCAGAGTGGGCCTGAGCTCCGGCCTCCTCCCTGGACGCCCTCCCGTGGCCGCAGCCATCCCTGCACCCACTGATGTGGCCTGACCCCTCACCCTGAGCCCACCCTTCGCGGCCACTAGGGAACCTCAGGAGAGGCCGCCGCGGTGGGGTGGGCGGATTCCCCCGGAGCAGGCCCAGGCCCCTGCTTCTGAGCGCTCCTGCAGCGCCGCCTGCTGGCCACAGAGAACCCGCGTGTGCCGGCCGCCAGGCCTGGGCATCTCCTCTCCTGCAGCGCCGCCTGCTGGCCACAGAGAACCCACGTGCGCCGGCCGCCAGGCCTGGGCATCTCCTCTCCTGCAGCGCCGCCTGCTGGCCACAGAGAACCCACGTGTGCCGGCCGCCAGGCCTGGGCATCTCCTCTCCTGCAGCGCCGCCTGCTGGCCACAGAGAACCCACGTGCGCCGGCCGCCAGGCCTGGGCATCTCCCCTCCTGCAGCGCCGCCTGCTGGCCACAGAGAACCCACGTGTGCCGGCCGCCAGGCCTGGGCATCTCCTCTCCTGCAGCGCCGCCTGCTGGCCACAGAGAACCCGCGTGCGCCGGCCGCCAGGCCTGGGCATCTCCCCTCCTGCAGCGCCGCCTGCTGGCCACAGAGAACCCACGTACGCCAGCCGCCAGGCCTGGGCATCTCCCCGGGCCCTAGTTCCCCCCCTCACCTAAGGGGAGGGACTCCCGTCTTTCCATCCACCCCCTCCTTGCCTCTGCAGAGCTCCAGGGAAGGCTGGCACCCGCTCACTGCATTTAGACTCCATCAGGTTCAGACAGTGGGTCAGGGTACAAGGCTTCAGCGGCCAGGGATGTGGCCTCTAATTTGTAGAGAGAAAGAAGGGCAGAGGTAGGTAGGTAGATATATGATAGATGGTTGATAGATAAAAATAGATGAAATAGATGGCATGGTTACATAGGTGGGTAGGTAGATAGATGACAGATAGAAAGACAATAGACCACTGGGGGCTGAGCCTGGCCTGAGCCAGAAAGGTGAGAAGGGGACAGCGGTGAGGACCCCACAGGTCCCTGCTCTCACCTATTAGCCCCAGTGTTTGGCCTGAGCTCTGACTGACAGCTCCCTCTTTCCGAGATGAGACTCAAGAGGAGGAAGAGGGGACTTCCTAAGGACAGGGATTCTTGGTGTCTCCTTGGGGCTGGTAGACACTGCCTGCCTCGCCTGCTGTGGCCTCTCTGCACACAACCAACGACCCCTAAAGGGCTCCATGGGCGCCCATGCTGCCCCCATCAGCTGACACCCCCTGTGCGAAGATTCTCCTCCTCCTCTTCCTCCTGCCTTTCTGTCCCCTCATCCTCCTCTTTATGGAATTAACTTCCCTTGGTCAACATCTTCCTGCTTCACTCACTTCCCTAAACTCCTCCCTATCCCTTCTCAATCTGCAAGAAAAATGTAGAAAGAATATGGTAAAGGAAAGCTTTGAGCCCATATTTGGGTCCAATGCCGACACCACATGCCCCAAAGCCCCCTTGAGAGCATCCACGTCCGTGTAGTTGAGTATTGCCCGAGCTGGAGTGAGATTTGCCTCTCTACGGAGCTGCCTTCCTGCAGTTCAAGAGCACTGTCTCTTTTCTGGGCCTCCTGCCTGGTGCAAGGGCCCCAGCTGAGCCTCCTCCAGCTCTGACCTCTGGTGGTCCCGGGCTACCCCAGAGGGTCTTGCCCGGGCTCTGACACTTGGCATGGGCTGGGAGCTCCAGCAGCCACAGCCCAGCCCTGGGGAGGCTTTGTGGTCTCTGAGGGGGCAGGTGCACTCCCCCAACTCCAGTTCATGTTTTTCCCTCCAACTCTAAGCCTTTTTCTTCCTCTGCTATTACCCAGGCACCCTACCCTGTCAACAACACTGGCCTTCAAGACCCTTTGTAGCATAACTCCCACCTATAACTCCCACCTGAAGCCAGCCCTTCCCACCTCTGCGCCTCTGATGCCCAGGACAGCTCTGACCGTGGGCAGCTCTGACCCAGGACAGCTCTGACCTTGGGCAGCCCTGATCTGGGGCAGCTCTGACCTCGAGTAGCTGTGACCCTGGGCAGCTCTGACTCTGGGTAGTCGTGACCCTGGGGAGCTCTCAGCATGGGGGTTGCACGCTCCTGTTTAGACAGCTGCCGTCCCCCAAGCTGGCTCACTATCCCATGTTGGAGTGCACTGTTCGGGGCTGCCTGCCTGGATTGATGCAGGGAAACTTGGTTCCAGCCCACCTCCTCCTGCGGAGGCTGAGTCAGGGGCTCTTCCCTCGGCCAGGCTGAAAGGCAGCAGTTGGTCCCCCTGTGAGGTCTTCCACATGGCCTGGGAGAGTCTCCCCATCTCTTCAGGCAGAAGGGAGGACAGTCCATAATGTTCCTTCCAGTCCTCTGACTTGTCATTTTTCTACCCCAAATCTTGCACTTTAACCCCATAGAGAGCTCCTGAAGGGGGAATTTTAACTGGCAAAACTCAGAACTCCATCCAAACACAACCGAAACCATCCTGGGTGGCTTAGAGGTGGCTGCCTCCCAGACAAGTCCATAGCCCCACAGAAACGTCTGGTCCTTCACCTGCTAGAGCTCAGGCTTTTTGGTTGAAGCCGGAGACAGGCCCAGCTCAGAGTGTGCCCCGGTTTATCCTGAGCACAGACTTGGTGCGGTGTGTGTGACAGACCAGCGAAGCGGGTCTTGCTGCCTGTCCTGTGGTTGGCCCTTGGCTCCCAGCCTCGAGTCCTACCCTTAGGCCAGGTCAGAGCAGGTTCAGCAGCAGGACTGGCTAGGCACCACCCAGGCTCATGAGGTGGCTTTGTGGGGAGGAAATGAGGTTTTTTTTTTTCTCTTGTAAAGTTGCTTGTTGTTAATTTAAAATTTTAATTTCATTTCTGAATTAACATTCAGCAAAACTGCTATTTTTCGGTGTACAGTTCTATGAGTTTAACACATTTATAGATTCATGTAGCAACACTGTGGATACAGAACAGTTACATCACCCCCAGAACTCCGTTCACAGTCACACTCCCCGACCCAGCCCCGGCAGCTCTCCCTGTGGTTTGTCTTTTGCAGAGGAAATCCCGCAGCTGGCGGCACTTGGAGACCGGCTCCTCGCCGAGCCGACCGCGCGTGCGCGGCTCCCTCCTCGTCCGTGCTGAGCGCCGCGTGGGGTTCCGCGTGGAGGCGCCTGTGCCGCTGAAGCGTGTTTGGGTTGCTTCCAGGGTGGGATGGTTGTTGGATAGAGCTGTTTGTGCATTTGCGTTGTAGGTTTTTGTGTGAACATAAGCTTTTGTTTCTCTCGGGTACATACCCAGAAGTGCAATTGCTGAGTCATGTGGGAAGCGTGTGCCCAACTTTACAGGAAAACACCACAGGCCGCCCCTTCGCTTTGCGCTCCCGCTAATCGGGAATGAGTGCCTGCTGCTCCGCGTTCTTGCGGGCACCCAGCATTTTCCGTGCTTACATTTCAGCCATCCCGGAATGAATGAAAAGCGTTTCCTAGTGGCTGTAATTTGCATCTCCCTGGTGGCTGATGGAAGCTTATTTCCCATCCATATCCCTTGCTTGGTGACGCATCTGTTCAAGTCCTTCCCCGGTTTGTAACTGGATTATTTGGTGTTTTTACTGTTGGATTTTGAGAGTTCTTTATGTATTCTAGATACAATTCCTTTGCCAGATATGAGATTCACAAATATTTTCTCCAACTGTATGTCTTGTGTTTTCATTCTCTCAACAGTGACTTTTGCAGCATTCATAGGGATTTTATGTTTTCTTCTCAAAGTTTTATAAACCACTATATTTAAAATTTTAATTTAAAAACTATAAACCTATTATAGTTTTTAAATTAAACTGTAAACCTCTTATATAGATTTTCTGTTTAAACTTATGATTCCTTTTAAGTTAATTATTATGTAAGTTGTGAGGGTTGGGTCAAGGCATTCCTTTGCTTAAAATCCCCAGCTTTTCATTTCTCTCAGACAGAAGTCTTGACCTGCAGGGTCAGGCTCCCCTGCTCTCTGAGCTCGCCCTCCCCACGCAGCGCTAGCCCCTGGACTATTCTCACCACTCAGGCCTTGGCCTCCATACCCGCTTGGCACCCACCAAAGGGTCCGGGGACCCCTCCACAGGGCAGCGTTCTGTCTGTGAGGTGAAGCGGGAGCAGAGGGCCAGGCAGAGCCAGGCTGGGACCCAATCTCTGCTTCAGGCTGGTCTTTTTTTTTTTTTTTTTTGAGACGGAGTCTCGCTGTCGCCCACGCTGGAGTGCAGTGGCGCGATCTCGGCTCACTGCAAGCACCGCCTCCCGGGTTCACGCCATTCTCCTGCCTCAGCCTCGCGCGTAGCTGGGACTACAGGTGCCTGCCACCATGCCTGGCTAATTTTTTGTATTTTTAGTAGAGACGGGGTTTCACCGTGTTAGCCAGGATGGTCTTGATGTCCTGACCTTGTGATCTGCCCGCCTCGGCCTCCCAAAGTGCTGGGATTACAGGCGTGAGCCACCGCACCTGGCCAGGCTGGTCTTTTTTGCCAGAGTTAGTGTTGTATTGAGGGACATGGAGGGAGAAAAGGGGGTCAGTTAGGGGCAAGTTTACTTGTGCAGGTAACCAGGGTGAGGGCTCGAGGGGAGAGGAGAGATAAGGAGGGCAGAGCTCAGCCAAGTTGGCCTGATGACATGACCAGAATGTGATCACTAGATCCCCTGCCTGGAGGCCCAAGTGTGGCCCCAGGTCTGGATAGTTGCAGCCACTGTGGGGAAGCTTCAGTTTGGGAGCCACAGAAACCAAGAATATTGTCTGGGAAGCTGATGTGCAGAGAGGAGAATGGAGCGGATGGAGGTGCGGTGGGGGAGAGAGACAAAGAGACAGAGAGGAGAGTAAAAGCCTGTTGCTGGCTCCACTATGTTGGGCTTGTCAGCCCAGCTTCTTCTTGTCCCATCCATAAAATGGGCTGGTGTCGCCCATCCTGGTTAGGAGGCACAAGGAAGTATTGCGCTGTGTGCTCGGCCCAGCTGACTCAGCAGCTCTCCAACCTCGGGGACTCTCCAGACAGGTGTGTGCAGGTGAGGTGCTGGACCAAGGAAGGGCAGGTGGAGGACATGGCCGAGGGGAGCTCTGTGAGCTGAGCTGCCTGCTTCGAGGGTGCCCTTGAGGCCCAGGACTGACCCCTGGAGGGAGAGGCTTCCTTCCTTCTGTTGGGGCTCAGAAAACAACGCCCCAAAATGAAGTCCTCAGCAGCAGCCTCAGAAGCAAAAGTTGTCTCTGACCTTCTCCTGCCCTCCTGTCTCTCAGTCTCATTCTCCCCGAAGGCGCTGTAGAAACCAGACTCTCTTTTTCCCCAAGGCCGGTCACAGAAATCAGAACCCCTTCTCCCCAAAGCTGGTCAGAAAACCTAAAAATATTACTCAGTTTTCCGTCTACCTTTCTATATAAGAGCTGACTAGAGAGAAATGATCCAACATCCCTTGTTTGACTGTAGGTCATGAGACTGTCATTCCAGAGAGGGCCCTGCCCCACGTCCAGAGAAGAAAATGCTCAGAGACGAAGACAAATCTAGACAGACCTTGCTGGGTTCCCACTCAGTCTATTCACATTAGATCAAGCCCTTTGTGTCCAATCCTTTTTTTAGAGGACTGTTCATACGTTATTAAACCTAAACATAAAAATGGACAATTTCCCCCATCGTTGGGTCTTCGTTCTAAAGGTTCTTATATGTACACATCACATAAATTTGCATACCGTTTCTCCTATTAATCCATCTGTCTCATGTCAGTGACTTCTCAGCAAACCTTTAGGGGCCAAGGGGCCCCACGCTCTCCAGCGGCAGGCACAATGGGCCTGGGGTGCAGTTGTGGACACTCGGACCCTCCTTGGAGCTGGTTTAGCTGTGCTGTGTGCTTGTGGGAATGGATTGCCATGATTTCTGGGCTCTAATAAATTGTGCTTCAATCGACTCTTGAGGAGTTAATGAGAGGCCTCACTTCAGACCATAAACACCCTCCCTGTGTGGGATAGAAACACACATCGTCACAGCCAGGAGGTCAGTCGGGTGAGGGTCTGCTTTGCTTACAAGGTCCAGAAACCCAGCAGAAAACCCTCGAGGCCACATCAGTGAAGAGTAACTTATTTCAGCAACATTTCCATGTGTGACACAAGACACACATTTCCTGCATCCACCTTTAAAGTCAAGAAGTTGAAGCTGAATAAAGCCAGCAGGCAGCGAAAATCACCTGCACTCAGTTCAGTTGTGGCAGGAAAGGGAAAGAGCCATGAAGAAAGGAGAGGGGGATGGAGAGGGAGAAAGGAGAGGGGGATGGAGAGGAGAAAGGAGAGGGGGATGGAGAGGGAGAAAGGAGAGGGGGATAGAGAGGAGAAAGGAGAGGGGGCTAGAGAGGAGAAAGGAGAGGGAGATGGAGAGGGGGATGGAGAGGGGGATGGAGAGGAGAAAGGAGACGGGGATGGAGGGGGGATGGAGAGAAGAAAGGAGAGGAGGGTGGAGAGCGACAGCTGCAGAGGGAGGCAGGGGAGGCCGGCATGGACGCTGCAGAGGGGACACAGCCACTCTGGGAACAGCAGCCAGTGGCGGATCTGCCTGGAATGCTGTTCCCTCCTGTCCAGGATGGGCCTGTCTCTGCAGACAGGGGCCCTCCCCTTCCTGGCCTGGCTGTGCACTCCCTATGTGCATGGTGGAAGCTCTGCAGAGGCCATTCTGCTCCAGAGTGGGGCATAGCCTCGGGCGAGGTTCACAGCTTGGGGGGCTGGTCCTGCCCTGTCCCACATGTGGCTGTGTGGGCAGCATGGATCTTCTTCCGCGGTGACCCTGTGTGCCCACCCCCCCCAACTTATGCCTGCTTCCCAAGGCCATGGGCCTCACCCTCAGACTTCACTTTTGTGTATATGGAAAGACACAATTATCGGGACAGAAACAGATCAGTGTTTGCCAGTGGGTGAGTGAGGGGAGAGGAGTTTACTACCGAGGGGCCGAACTGGGGCCATTTTTGAGGGATGAAAGTCTTCTGTGTGGCTCTACAGAGCTGGGTACGTGATGCTGTGTTTGTCAAACCCCACAGGACTGGACCTCACTGTGGGAACAACAAGATCAACAAGAGGAGCAAGAACAACATCAAGAGTTGGGGCCTGGGGGTCCTGACGGGTACAGGATGGGTACAGACCCACACAGGAATCCCAGAGTGTGTTCCACAGCAGGACACGCCTGCGCTGAAAGAGTGGGCAGAAAGGAGCTGACCTGGGTAAGTCCAAAAACAGTGTTTTGATTAGATTCTGGAAAGAATCAAATAACTCTGCATATCTAAGCACTAAACTCCAATTGGTAAAATTGTTTCCCACAGCAATACATGTTAGCAACTTTGAAACTACTTTTATATATACTAAGGTTTCACAAATAAGTCAATACAGTAGTAAGAGTCAGGGTTCTCACAGCTGGATAAGGAAGTCATGGAAAAGCCAGCGGGGACCCTGAGGTCCATATGTAATATATATTATACATATATACAGATCAGAATGGACCCTAAGGTGGTCGGTTATAGACAGATATGCCAGCAGGAACTCATGTTTACATGATACATATATACAGATCAGAATGGACCCTGAGGACCATATATAATATATATTATACATATATACAGATCAGAATGGACCCTAAGGTGGTCGGTTATAGACAGATATGCCAGCAGGAACTCATGTTTACATGATACATATATACAGATCAGAATGGACCCTGAGGTCCATATATAATATATATTATACATATATGCAGATCAGAATGGACCCTGAGGTCCATATATAATATATATTATACATATATACAGATCAGAATGGACCCTGAGGTGGTCAGTTATAGTCAGATATGCCAGCAGGAACTCGTGTTTACATGATACATATATACAGATCAGAATGGACCCTGAGGTGGTCGGTTACAGTCAGATATGCCAGCAGGAACTCGTGTTTACATGATACTTATATACAGATCGGAATGGACCCTGAGGTGGTCAGTTATAGTCAGATATGCCAGTAGGAACTCGTGTTTACATGATACATACATACAGATCAGAATGGACCCTGAGGTGGTCAGTTATAGTCAGATATGCCAGTAGGAACTCGTGTTTACATGATACATATATACAGATCAGAATGGACCTTGAGGTGGTCGGTTACAGTCAGATATGCCAGCAGGAACTCGTGTTTACATGATACTTATATACAGATCGGAATGAACCCTGAGGTGGTCAGTTATAGTCAGATATGCCAGTAGGAAATCATGTTTACATGATACATATATACAGATCAGAATGGACCCTGAGGTGGTCGGTTACAGTCAGATATGCCAGTAGGAAGTCGTGTTTACATGATACATATATACAGATCAGAATGGACCCTGAGGTGGTCAGTTATAGTCAGATATGCCAGCAGGAACTCATGTTTACATAATACATATATACAGATAGGTTAAATATATACACACACACGTGCGTGTGCATACATGGCTTAGCACACACATCTGTAGATCCTGGGTTTGTCCTTTGAGAGGGGACACCCCAGTAGCAGCAAGCACATTCCATGCCCAGATGTTAGTTTCTAAATTTCATCTTCAATAAAAGGAGCCAAGTCTCCCTGGAGAAATGGCTGATAATTGGGATGTGGGAGAGAAAATACAAGATGAACCTGGAGCATCTTGTAGTCCCAGGAAGTAAGAAAATGCTCAAAAATAAAATTTTTAAAAAGCTGTGGGCATTTCAAAAGGGCATGGAACCCAAAATGTAAGAGCTCCCAGTGGCCACAGCTACAATGATTTGAGTGCACACACACTCACACAGACATACACACACACACACACAAATCGGATTATGCCCCAAAGAATAAAATGAATGTCCATGGATTCGTAAGCATATAAATAAATTATTGAATAAATTAAAACTGAAAGGGTAGCCGGGCGAGGTGGCGAGCGCCTGTAGTCCCAGCTACTCGGGAGGCTGAGGCAGGAGAATGGTGTGAGCCCGGGAGGTGGAGCTTGCAGTGAGCCAAGATCACGCCAATGCACTCCAGCTGGGGTGACAGAGCAAGACTCTGTCTCAAAAACAAAACAAAACAAAACAAAACAAAAAACTGAAAGGGACAGGCCTTTCTTGGAACAAATTCCAAACAAGAAATGTGGAGTAAATAGGGAAAATCACCATCAGGCCGGGCACAGTGGCTCGTGCCTGTAATCTCAACACTTCGGGAGGCTGAGGCAGGTGGATCACCTGAGGTCAGGAGTTCGAGACCAGCCTAGCCAACATTGTGAAACCCTGTCTCTACAAAAAAATACAAAATTAGCTGGGCCTGGTGACACATGCCTGTAATCTCAGCTACTTGGGAGGCTGAGGCAGGAGAATCGCTTGAACCCGGGAGGTTGCAGTGAGCTGAGATTGTGCCACTGCACTCCAGCCTGGGCAATAAGAGCAAAACTCTGTCTCAAAAAAAAGAAAGAAAGAAAGAAAAGAAAAGAAAAAAAAGAAAGTCACCATCAGTGCTGCAGGCAAGCTCCCCTGAGGAATGCTAAAATTCCTGTGCAAAGTTTAAGGAGAAAGAAGATATTTGTATAGTCTCAAAGTGTCTCCCCTAAATGTTCAGTAATTACCGCGGCGCCCAAATTCTTTGATGCTCCTTCCTGTAGGAGTTGGAGCTCATGCTGGACTTCATGACTCACTCTTAACCAGCAGGACATGGAGAGGAAAACAGTCACTCTCCCGTGGGGAGACCTGGCAGGCCTCACCTTGGCCGTGTGATCAAGGTCCAGACCACCAGTGATGAGGCATGTTGACATCGTGGCCCCTGAGAGCACGTGATGAGAAGAGCGCTCCACCTCCGCCGTGTTCTTCCGCAAACGCACAGTTCCAATGTAATCAGAGAGAACATCACACACACACCAATTGAGGGGCATCTTGCAGAATACCTGAGCAGTACTCTGCAAAGCTGTCAAGGCGGTGAAACGAAGACAGGCCAGGAAAGGGTCACCGGTGCAGGGGACTAAGGAGGCGTGAGGGCCAGTGCAGCCTGGGGTCCTGGACGTGAGCTGCTGAGACGGCACCCGCGTGAGTGTCGCAGTTTCCACACCGTGAGCTGCCGAGACGGCACCCGCGTGAGTGTCGCAGTTTCCACACCGTGAGCTGCCGAGACGGCACCCGCGTGAGTGTCGCAGTTTCCACACCGTGAGCTGCCGAGACGGCACCCGCGTGAGTGTCGCAGTTTCCACACCGTGAGCTGCCGAGACGGCACCCGCGTGAGTGTCGCAGTTTCCACACCGTGAGCTGCCGAGACGGCACCCGCGTGAGTGTCGCAGTTTCCACACCGTGAGCTGCCGAGACGGCACCCGCGTGAGTGTCGCAGTTTCCACACCGTGAGCTGCCGAGACGGCACCCGCGTGAGTGTCGCAGTTTCCACACCGTGAGCTGCCGAGACGGCACCCGCGTGAGTGTCGCAGTTTCCACACCGTGAGCTGCCGAGACGGCACCCGCGTGAGTGTCGCAGTTTCCACACCGTGAGCTGCCGAGACGGCACCCGCGTGAGTGTCGCAGTTTCCACACCGTGAGCTGCCGAGACGGCACCCGCGTGAGTGTCGCAGTTTCCACACCGTGAGCTGCCGAGACGGCACCCGCGTGAGTGTCGCAGTTTCCACACCGTGAGCTGCCGAGACGGCACCCGCGTGAGTGTCGCAGTTTCCACACCGTGAGCTGCCGAGACGGCACCCGCGTGAGTGTCGCAGTTTCCACACCGTGCGCTGCCGAGACGGCACCCGCGTGAGTGTCGCAGTTTCCACACCGTGCGCTGCCGAGACGGCACCCGCGTGAGTGTCGCAGTTTCCACACCGTGCGCTGCCGAGATGGCACCCGCGTGAGTGTCGCAGTTTCCACACCGTGCGCTGCCGAGATGGCACCCGCGTGAGTGTCGCAGTTTCCACACCGTGAGCTGCCGAGATGGCACCCGCGTGAGTGTCGCAGTTTCCACACCGTGAGCTGCCGAGATGGCACCCGCGTGAGTGTCGCAGTTTCCACACCGTGAGCTGCCGAGATGGCACCCGCGTGAGTGTCGCAGTTTCCACACCGTGAGCTGCCGAGATGGCACCCGCGTGAGTGTCGCAGTTTCCACACCGTGAGCTGCCGAGATGGCACCCGCGTGAGTGTCGCAGTTTCCACACCGTGAGCTGCCGAGATGGCACCCGCGTGAGTGTCGCAGTTTCCACACCGTGAGCTGCCGAGATGGCACCCGCGTGAGTGTCGCAGTTTCCACACCGTGAGCTGCTGAGATGGCACCCGCGTGAGTGTCGCAGTTTCCACACCGTGAGCTGCTGAGATGGCACCCGCGTGAGTGTCGCAGTTTCCACACCGTGAGCTGCTGAGATGGCACCCGCGTGAGTGTCGCAGTTTCCACACCGTGAGCTGCTGAGATGGCACCCGCGTGAGTGTCGCAGTTTCCACACCGTGAGCTGCTGAGATGGCACCCGTGTGAGTGTCGCAGTTTCCACACCGTGAGCTGCTGAGATGGCACCCGCGTGAGTGTCGCAGTTTCCACACCGTGAGCTGCTGAGATGGCACCCGCGTGAGTGTCGCAGTTTCCACACCGTGAGCTGCTGAGATGGCACCCGCGTGAGTGTCGCAGTTTCCACACCGTGAGCTGCTGAGATGGCACCCGCGTGAGTGTCGCAGTTTCCACACCGTGAGCTGCTGAGATGGCACCCGCGTGAGTGTCGCAGTTTCCACACCGTGAGCTGCTGAGATGGCACCCGCGTGAGTGTCGCAGTTTCCACACCGTGAGCTGCTGAGATGGCACCCGCGTGAGTGTCGCAGTTTCCACACCGTGAGCTGCTGAGATGGCACCCGCGTGAGTGTCGCAGTTTCCACACCGTGAGCTGCTGAGATGGCACCCGCGTGAGTGTCGCAGTTTCCACACCGTGAGCTGCTGAGATGGCACCCGCGTGAGTGTCGCAGTTTCCACACCGTGAGCTGCTGAGATGGCACCCGTGTGAGTGTCGCAGTTTCCACACCGTGAGCTGCTGAGATGGCACCCGTGTGAGTGTCGCAGTTTCCACACCGTGAGCTGCTGAGATGGCACCCGTGTGAGTGTCGCAGTTTCCACACCGTGAGCTGCTGAGATGGCACCCGTGTGAGTGTCGCAGTTTCCACACCGTGAGCTGCTGAGATGGCACCCATGTGAGTGTCGCAGTTTCTACACCGTGAGCTGCTGAGATGGCACCCATGTGAGTGTCGCAGTTTCTACACCGTGAGCTGCTGAGATGGCACCCATGTGAGTGTCGCAGTTTCTACACCGTGAGCTGCTGAGATGGCACCCATGTGAGTGTCGCAGTTTCTACACCGTGAGCTGCTGAGATGGCACCCATGTGAGTGTCGCAGTTTCTACACCGTGAGCTGCTGAGATGGCACCCATGTGAGTGTCGCAGTTTCCACACCGTGAGCTGCTGAGATGGCACCCATGTGAGTGTCGCAGTTTCCACACCGTGAGCTGCTGAGATGGCACCCATGTGAGTGTCGCAGTTTCCACACGTGCCTCATTGCTGTGTAAGATGCTCAAGTGAGAGGAAGCTGGTGAACGGGTCTGTGGGAAGTTGCAGTACTGTCTTTGCAACTCTTCTGGACATCTTTTTTTTTTTTTTAAATAAAACATTTTTAACATGAAAATATGCAGAGCACGGTGGCTCGCACCTGTAATCCCAGCACTTTGGGAGGCCGAGGCAGGTGGATCATGAGGTCAGGAGTTCAAGACCAGCCTAGCCAACATGGTGAAACCCCGTCTCTACTAAGAATACAAAAATTAGCTGGGCGTGGTGATGGGCATCTGTAATCCCAGCTACTCGGGAGGCTGAGGCAGGAGAATCACTTGAACCCGGGAGGCAGAGGTTGCAGTGAGCCGAGATCGCGCCCCTGCACTCCAGCCTGGGTGACAGAGCAAGACTCCATCTCAAAAAAAATAAAGGAAATATGCGTCGTTGGATGCTGTATGACAATCAAGCTACTTATAACAAACAAAATTGAGAATGAAGGTAAATTAAAAATAATTTATAGTCTTTAAAAAGCAGGAACTACAAAATTTACATTTCTGAAAATGGCAGAAAAATCCCACATGGCTGTATATGTATGTGTGAGATTGTGTATGAATGAGCGCATGCATATATTTTTGTGTGTTTGGATTATATGTGTGACGGTGTGCATGAGTGTGTATATGATTTGGGGGTATGTGTGAGTGTGTATGACTGTGTGTATGAGTGTGTATGATTTGTGTGTGTGAGTGTGTACATGTATACACTAGTGTGCGTATGATTTGGGGGTATGAATGTGAATGTGTACATATGTATTTATGATCTGAGTGTGTATGAGTGTGAATGTGAACATGTGTGTGTGAGTGGGTATATGATTTGGGTGTGTGCAAGTATGAATATGTATTGTGTGCATTAATGTGTATATTTTGGGCTGTGTATGAGTGAATGTGAACATGTGTGCACGAGTGTATATATGATCTGGGTGTGTATGAGTGAGCATGAGTGAACATGTGTGCATGAATGTGAGTATGATTTGGGTGTGTATGAGTGTGAATGTGTGCACGAGTGTATATATGATCTGGGTGTGTATGAGTGAGCATGAATGTGAACATGTGTGCATGAATATATGATTTGGGTGTGTATGAGTGTGAATGTGTGCACGAGTGTACAATCGGTGTGTATGAGTGAGCATGAATGTGAACATGTGTGCACGAGTGTATATATGATCTGGGTGTGTAGGAGTGAGCATGAATGTGTATGCACAAGTGTGTGTATGTGTGTATGATCTGGGTGTGGAGTGTGAATACGAACACGTATGCGCAAGTATGTATATGATCTGTGTATGTATGAGTGAGTGTGAATGTGTGCATAAGTGTGTGTATGATCTGGGTATGAGTGATTGTGAATGTGAGCATGTGTGCACGAGTGTGTATATGATCTGGGTGTGTGGGAGTGAGCATGAATGTGTATGCACAAGTGTGTGTTTGTGTGTATGATCTGGGTGTGTAGGAGTGTGAATATGAACACGTGTGCACAAATGTGTATATGATCCGAGTATGTAGGAGTGAGTGTGAATGTGAACATGTTTGCACGTGTGTATATGATATGGGTGCATGTGTGGGTGTGTTTGTGCAGGTGCACTGGGAGCTTTCAGCATTGAGTCTGTGTGGCATCCAGGCTTTTCTGGATGATGTAGAATCAAACCCCATAATTAATTCCAGTAACTTAGAAATTTTCACTTATGAATACTAAATTCTCCTCACCTAGCAACTGACTGAGCAGGTTGAACAGCACCCTTCGCCGTTCTCCTGCAGAACCCCGTGGAATGGCCCTGCTTTCTCAGAGTGCTCCTAGCGGTGATGAGGGAGCCCAGCTCATTGCGGTTCGTGCAGAAGGCTGTGTGCCATCTCCGGGACTGCACGGAGAGGCGGAGGCTCAGGCGTGGGATCTGAGCTCAGTGGGCCCTTTAAGGACCGCTGCCTCCTTTCCTCCCTTTGGCATTCAGCATCGACTTACGATGGCTCCCAGTCACAGTCCTTGTCACTGCCTGGCATTACACAGGGCCACAGTCCCTTAACTGAAACACTTGGGACCAGTTGCATTTTGGAATTCGGAATGTTTCTTGATTTCAGAGAGAGAAGAGGGGATGGACTGTTGGGCAGCCCTGATTAACCCTGCAGCGTCTTGGCTCTAGAGGGGCCTACACGGCTGGGAGCGTCTCGGCTCTAGAGAGGGGCCTGCACTGCCGGGAGCATCTCAGCTCTAGAGAGGGGCCTGCACTGCTGGGAAGCCTACACGGCTGGGAGCGTCTCGGCTCTAGAGCCACAGCTGATGCATGGCAACGATGAGCTCTCCTGCTTAGTGCTGATGTGCCTCAGCCCCTAACCCCACTGGTGTCCAGATGAGGAACTTGAGGCTCAGAGAAGCTAGGTCAAGGTGAACACCAGTGTTGAGTTTCAGCCCCAGGTCTACCTGATGCTGACTCCACATTGACTGAGTTGGCCTGGTCCATTGTGAGGTCAGGTAGAGCCAGGGCCGAGGTGGGGATGCCAAGGTCCCATGCCGCAAAGATGGGTGGGACGGCACAGGAGCCGGTCATCATCCCCAAAGACACAGCTCCGAATACCTCATCCTGAAATCCCAAAGATCAAAATCCCAAAAGTATAAATCTGGAAAAAATAATGTCGATGTTATTTATTTACATTTTTAAAAGGTATGTATTTGAGAAACATAAAAACACAACAGAACATTTCATAGGCCACTTTACACAATAAAATAGGCAATGATAACAGGTATTTTTGCATAAACACTGAGGTAACTAACGACGGCGGCATGGGTGTAGCAGTTATAAGAAGACAGACCATAAAGAAATAAGTCAAAAGAGAAACGTGTACACGTATATCGCTACGGTTACTAATTGTGTGCACCTAGCCCTGTAGCTGTGGTCATCTGAAATATCAGGGATTTTAGACTTGAGGGATTTTGATCTTTAGGGATTTCAACATTCCACATTATGGTGCTTGGGATTGTGTCTTTCAGGATTATGATCCAAACTCAGCTGGGCCTCCCCTCCCTGCCCCAGGATTGTGGAGTGAGAACGTTGCAGCAGGAGAGAACAACGCAGCAAAGCACAGCAGGGGAACCGGAAATGCTCACCTTTTGACAGGGTACTTTTAGTTCTGGGGCCTTATCTTAAGGATATTCCAACATATACAAAAAGATTCATGCACAGAGATATTTACTTTAGTATTATTTACCATAGGAAAAAAGTTGGAAACAATACATTTTATGTTCTGTAAAATGAAAGAACAGTTAAATAAATCATGGCTCTAAGACGACTCCAGGGCTGTGTACGGAAGTTCAGGGACAGAATCAGTTGAGGCTGTTCCACCTGAGCCTAAGCTTCCTCTGCTGTATGTCGGGAATCAGGTGGGGGCCAAGCGAGATCACCACAGTGCAGGCCAGTGTGCAGGGCACAGGTGGGCGCCAGGGAGGGGACGCCGCACAGCCCCATGCTCTCGCCAAAAACGTGCAGCACAATTTGGAAGAAAACATTTCCATCTGTTAATAAAGAGCAACGGCCTCTGGTCATAAGAAGTGACACATGACCCTTTGCCTGAGTCTTTTTAAATTTTTCCATATGTTCCATATTTTCTACACCAAATGTAAGCTACTTTCATAATCACAAAAACTTAATGGAAAGAGGAGGAGGAGGACGGGGGTGGGGAGTAGTAGCCATGGGTTCGAGCCCTTCCTCTCCGCATGACTTGGATAACACGGTATATTCACACAGCTATTTCCCCATCTATGAACTTCTGAGGTGCTTTTATTAGTTGATGTCTGGGACCCCTAGGAGCTCTCTTTATACCTCATGATATCAAATGCCCACCTTTCCAGCTCCTCTTGGCCTCCTGCCCTTCCTGGAGGGAGATGCGCTCCCTGGAGCTGCTGACTAGGTGGAAGCAGACTGGCTCCTTCAGTGGGTAGGCCAGCCTGCCTGTCTCCCTAGCCCAGTCCCACCGTGCTGGCCTCAGTGGTGGAGGCAGGCATGGAGCCTTGGAGGAACCACTCCTCCCCAGCCGCCACCAACATTTGTGGCACCGAGAAGCACCCGTGCTATTCCGGACAGGGATGGGGTTGGACACCCATGCATAGGGGACCCTACACTCCTAGGCTTGGCTCTGGGCTAAACAGCAGGTGTGGATTTGGGCCTAGGCCTCGGAGAAGCCATCAGCTAGGGCAGAATTCCCATGTGGGCAGGATGTTATTTAGGAATTCCAGGGCTTTCTGTATTCCAGATTTCCTGTATTGTGCATATGTGCGTGCACGTATGTGCCCTCAGCCATGATGTAAAGTGTTTTTCTGGCTGGGGTTGCATCACAGAGTTTGGAAGCCACTGCTCTGCAGATTCTGAGGACCACCTCCCTTATTTCTCACCAAATTCCCATTTCTTCTGTTTTTGTTCCACCCAATGCAAAAAGCATACTGCCTTCTCTTCTGCATTGGTGGGCAGCGGGTCCTGCAGCTCAGGTTTCTCCAGCCAGGGCCCTGAACGTGAGCCTGGTGGCGTGGGCAGGGGGCTGACTCCATGTGGGCCAAAGGCAACCTATCCAGCTCTTCAGAATGGCTTTTCTCTCCTCCCTATAAAACATATTTTCTCTCCTCCCTATAAAGCCTATTTTTGTATTAGGGTGTTTGTTAAAATGAAAACATGAGATCATTGATGCATAACGAGAAGCCGTGTCATTACTTCCCAGGCCCTGTGCAAGGTGCAAATTGGCGTGTTAGTGGCTGTTTGCATCTTTTCAGTTCCTTTCGTCTTTTCTCCTTATCCTGCCCTTTATATGGTTTCTGCTTTAAGTCAAACATTGTGAGTGGATTGATGGACATATGTGTGTGTGAGCGTGTGTGCACAGATGCATGAGAACTGCAGAGAGAGATGGGAGGTAACCAGGGGGATCACTGTTCTCTTCTTCCCAAACATTAGCGTTAGGCTGTTCCGCTTCTGTTCTTGAGAGGGCACCCACATTACTGCTTGGGAGCCTGGAAATGGCCCCACTGAAGCAGCTCTGAGGCCCTGGACACCCTTTTCCTGGTTGTGGCCAGCTGAGTTGTGCATGGTCCTCCCCGTGGGATGTGCTTGGAGCATCTGCTGGTAGCAGAGCCTCAGTTCCTCTCCTGCGTTCTTTCGCTACAGGTGTTAGACCTGCTGCCCACCTGTGACCTGTTTACTGCCAGGGATAGACCTGTGGCCAGTGTGGAAAGCGAGATGCTTTGTCCATACAGCCTGCGGGGCTCAGCCTTCCTGGGGTTGCCCACAGCTAGGCTGGGCCAGGACCCCCAAGCCTGGGAACTTACACCTTTCTCACCTGCTTTCCTAAAGGTGGTTTTCCTTTGTGATCTCTCTCCCTGAACGGCTAAACCACACTCTGAATAGAAAACTGTCTTGAAAACTGCTTTGCACGTACATCTGATAAGGTCCTCTGGAGGGCGACCTCCACTGTCTAGTGGGCGAGGATTGTTCAGCCGCCTTGGCTGAGTCACCGAGCTGCCAAGGGCAGACTGTACCCTGGGCTCACCAGCATGCAAAGATATTTTATTCATTTATTTATTCCATAAATATATATTTATATTATTTATATTTAGAGCCAGTGTATCTCTCTGTCGCTCAGGCTGGAGTGCAGTGGCACTATCTCACTGCAGCCTCAAGCTCCCGGGCTCAAGGAATCCTCCTACTTTGTCCTCCCAAACAAAAATATTTTTAAGGAGCCCACTAGGAGAGTGCTGAGTTTAAAATCTAAGTTCTTGTTTCTTTTTTCTTTTTCACTGATGCATAATAGATGTACATAGTTTCAGGGTACATGTGATAGTTTAATGCATTCATATAATTGTGAAAATCAAATCAGCCTACTTGGAATATCTATCGCCTTAAATATTTGTTTTTGCTTTATGCTAGAACCGTTCCGATTCTTCTCTTCTAGCCATTTTGAAATATACAGTAGGCAATTGCCAACTATGATCTATGTAACCCTAGGTCTTATTCCTTCTATCAAACCACGTATTTGTACCCTTCAATCAACTTCTCTTTCTCCCCGTCTCCCCGCTACATTTCCCCACCTCTGGTAACCACGCGTCTACCCTCTGTCTTCACGAGAGCTACTTTTTTAGTAGGTGGGAGAGAACATTCAATGTTTGTCTTTCTGTGCTTGGCTTATTTCACTTAACATAATGATCCCTAGTTCCATCTTGTACAAATAACAGGCTGTCGTTCCTCTGTATGGCTGAATAATATTCCACTGTGTATACACACCACGTTCTGTTTATCCATCATCCGCTGATGAACTCAGAGGCTGATTCCGTATTTTGGCGATTGTGAGTAGTCCCGCAGTAAACATGAGAGTGCAGATGTCTTTACGATATATTGATTTTGTTTCTTTTGACTATAGGCCCAGTTAGTGAAATTACTGGATCATACAGCAGTTTTACTTTTAGGTGTTTTTTTTTTTGTTTGTTTGTTTTTTGAGATGGAGTCTTGCTCTGTCACTAGGCTGGTGTGCAGTGGTGTGATCTTGGCTCACTGCAACCTCTGCCTCCCGGGTTCCTGTGTTTAAGCGATTCCCTTGCCTCAGCCTCCCGAGTAGCTGGGATTTATAGGTGCGCACCACCACGCCCAGCTAATTTTTTGTATTTTAGTAGAGACGGGATTTCACCATGTTGGCCAGGATGGTCTCGATCTCCTGACCTTGTGATCCGCCCGCCTCCACCTCCCAAAGTGCTGGGATTACAGGTGTGAGACACCGCGCCCGGCCAACTTTTATTTATTTATTTATTTTTTAAGGAGGAGTCTTGCTCTGTCACCCAGGCTGGAGTGCAATGGTGCGCTCTCCGCTCACCGCAATCTCCACCTCCTGTGTTCCAGTGATTCTCCTGCCTCAGTCTCCCAAGTAGCTGGGATTACAGGGTCGCACCACCACGCCTGGCTAATTTTTTATATTTTTAGTAGAGATGGGGTTTCATCATGTTGGCCAGGCTGGTCTCAAACTCCTGACCTTGTGATCCCCCTGCTTTGGCCTCCCAAAGTGCTGGGACCACAGGCGTGAGCCACCATGCCCGGCCCCTTTTGGTTTTTTGAGGAGCCTCCATCTGTTTTCCATAGTGGTTGTACTAATCAACGTTCCCACAACAGTGTGTGAGGGTCCCCCTTTCTCCACATCCTCGCCAGCATCCCTTATTCCCTGCGTTTTTGACGAAAGCCATTTTAACTGAGGTGAGAGAAGACCTCATTGCAGTTTTTTATTTGCGTTTCTCTGATGATTAGTGATGTTGAGCATTTTTTCATGTACCTGCTGGCCATTTGTACATCTTCTTTTGAGAAATGTCTACTCAGGTCTCTTGCCCATTTTAAAATTCGATTAATTGTTTGCTATTGTTTGAGCTCCTGGTTATGAATCCCTTGTCAGGTGGGTAGCTTGCAAGTATTTTCTCCCATTCTGTGGGTTGTCTCTTCAGTTTGTTGACTTTTTCCTTTGGTCTGCAGAGGGTTCTTAGCTTGGTGTGATTTCACTTGTCTGTTTTTGCTTTGGTTGCCTGTGCTTTTGGGGCCCTACTGAAAAAGTCTTTGCTGAGAACAATGTCCTGGAGCACTTCCCTAATGTTTTCTTCCAGTAGTTTTATACTTTCAGGTCTCAGTTTTACCTTTAATCCATTCTGATTTGATTTCTGTGTATGGTAAGAGAGACGGGTCTAGTTTCATTCTTCTGCATATCTTTATCTAGTTTCCCCTGCACCACTTATGGAAGAGACCGTCCTTTCGCTCGTATGTTGTTGGTGCCTTTGCTGAAGATGAGCTGGCTGTAAATGTGTGGATTTATATCTGGGTTCTCTATTCTGTTCCACTGGTCTATGTGTCTGTTTTACGTGATTACCAGGCTGATTACCAGGCTGATAGGTTGGCTCATGCCTGTAATCCCAGTACCTTTGGAGGCCCAGGTGGGAGGATCACTTGAAGCCAGGACTTCAAAACCAGCCTGGGCAACAAAGCAGGACCCCATCTCTACAATGTTTTAAAAAATTATTTGGTGCAGTGGCATACACCTGTAGTCCCAACTACGCAGGAGGCTGAGGTGGGAGGATCCTTTGAGCCTAGGAGTTTGAGGCTGCTCTGAGCTGTGATTGTGCTACTGCACTCCAGCCTGGTTGACAGAGCAAGGCCCTGTCTCTTAAAAAAAAAAAAAACTATTGCAAGAGGAGAGAGAGAGACTGAATTCAACTCTCAATACAACAGAGACAAGTGGGGATAGCCAATGAGCAGGGTGAGGGAGGTGATGAAAAGTTGTTGAAAGGAGCTTGGTTAGTTAGCAAGGGTGGGGAAGATTCTCACTAAGGACCTTAGCAGCATTCCTTGCTAGCACTGAGCTCAGCAGGCCAAGGATGAGGCTTCATCAAGGAGAAGGCTCAAAGGAGCCTGAGTGGAGTTTGGTCAAGGAGAGCGTCTTTGTCATCCTTGCAATGACTCATTTTATAGGTAATTAAGTAGGGGGTTCAGACAGGTCAAAGACTTACCAAAAAGAGGAAATTGTGTCCATGTGGCTGGTGGCTCACCCCAGGAACTGACAGTGGCTTACTCTCAGAAACTCAGAGTGTGCGTGTCTCTTTGAATCCGTATCTGTGTGTGGGTGGGTGCGTCTGTCTGTGTGCGTGCCTCAGTCTCTTCTGAATTTCTCTCCCAATCCCCGTCTCTCTTTCCTCGGGTTGGTGTTTCCCTCCTGCTGGCCTCTGGCCAGCTATTTCTGGAAGTGTCAGCTGCTCTGTCTTCCTGCCCCTGTCTCCACCATCACGTCTGTGTCTGACTCCCTTTCTTTCCCATACAAAACCCCTAATGCAAGTCCTACTGTTTCTGTAACTGGCCACTGCCTATAACAAATCTTTGCTTAGGTTGTGTTTCTTTGTAGAATAGACTGATGTACTGTGTGCTTGATTTTTACAAGATGAGCACAATACCTTATCTTTCTTCTTTATTAAAAAAAAGGAAAAATCCAAACACAAGATTAATATCTCGTCATGGACTGTGCCCCGCTCGAGCCTCTCCACATGCAGCCGGAAGGAAAGTGGAGGGAGCTGCTCCTTTCCGTAGCCGGGGTGCCCACCCCAACCAGGCTGCCTCTGCCACCCAAGACAGAGGTTCTCTGATAATAATTTGTGGGGCTTGTTTCCAGAGACCACACCTGAAGCTGCCAACTCCCCGGAGGGAAGGTCCTGATTAATGGCCGATGAATTTCTCCTTAAGGCCCTGAAACTGCCTACTCAGAACCAAGCCAGTTTTTCCTGCCTGTCCTGTTTGGGCAGGCAGAGGAGGCAGCTAGAAACCCATTATGCAGGGGATGGGGGTAAGTGGAGGAGGGAGGGGTCGGGGGAGGAGTGGGGAGGAGGAGGAGGGAAACAGGAAACCCCAGGCTTTGGCTATGATGGGGTCAGCCTTTCTACACCATTCCGGGATGCTGGTGTCCACCACTGCTGCCTGGGCACGGGGAACAGAGAATCTGCCTGGTGGGAGCAGACAAGAGGTTCGAGGACCAGAGCTCATCCTCTTCGGTGTGTGCCTGGGAGGAGGTGTAGGTGCAGCCAGTGGGGTATGATTAAAAAGAAGGGACGCGAGTTTAGGGGACAGCCGCCCACGTGCACCAGCTCTCCGTGTGCCAAAATCTTGCCTGTCAGGGACCAGGATCCCACTTCACAGTTAGCAAATAGCAGCTCAGGGACATTAAGCAACTCGCCCAGCATCCCACCAGCAGACAGTCTCACCTTCAGGGTCGTCTGTGTCTGTTAAAGTCGAGTCTAGTTTCGGGTCTCAGAGCACCTCCCTAAAGCTGCCGTAAACCAAGAATAAAATTCTAAGCCCCACAGCCGATCGCGTGGACCCCGCCTCTGGGCCAAAGGGATTCCAGAGAAACCTGAAGAACTAGTTCAGGCCGTGATGAGGAGGAGTGGGGGCTGGACAGGCCTCATTGTACCCTCCTCCCTTTGGAATTTGGGCAGAACTGACCAGAACCAACATTAAAACAGAGATCTGAAGACTGACAAGGCTCTCTAGCAATAAGATACCAAATTCCAACCTGACTCCAGTGCAGCATCACATGACAGACAGAGGCCATGAAATCAATATTTTACCTCAAAATATATTTCTTTGACATACTTTGAAATGGCCCTGCCAAGCTGTCTCTTGTGGGGGACATTTACATTCTGTAGAGAATCCCTTCCCTTTCCAGGTCTTTCTCTGATCCTGAAGACATTGGCTGAGAGCCTAGCACCTTCTATGGGTCTGAACAGGAAACATTTGCCATCTATTGTCTCTAAGGGTGGCCACCTATGAAACTTCATCTACATAATAAGAACCTTGGTCTGCACAGTCTCTTATCTTAACCCAGACTCTCCTTTCTATTGATAGCAGGTCTGTAGATAATAATTCTTTCAACCAATTGAGAATCAGAAAATCTTTGAATCTATCTATGACCTGTAAACCCCATTACTTTGAATTTTCCTCCTTCCAGACCAAACCAATGCACAACTCCTACGTACTGATGGTGGTCTTACGTTTCCCTAAGTTTCTGCCGACTAAACTGTGCACACGTTCTCAGGACCTCCTGAAGCTGCGTCACAGGCGCTGATCAAAGAACACAACCAAGGTGAGTGTCAATCATTTCAAGAAATCTGTTTGCAAGGTTAAGGACACACCTGAGAAAAGAACAGAGAACCACAGGAAAAACTGTGGTCCGTGCTTTTCCCAAAGGTTGTCTGGGGACCTCAGTAAGTAAAGGGGAGAAGTGTGGGTGTTGGGGAAAGGGGAAGAAGTGGAAAAAATGGGTGTGGGTAAATCAGAGGCAAATGGTTGCATTCTTCTGTCTTTGGTCAGCGTTCACTGAATACACATTTTACATGTGATGGAGGTAGAGGCAGGGATGTAGCTTTTTTATCTTTGTGTAATAGCTATCTTATTTAGGAACCAGATGGGAAGCAGGTTTGCATAAGCCAGTTCCCAGCTTGGCTTTTCCCTTTGGCTTAGTGAGTCTGGGGTCCCAGGATTTATTTTCCGTTCTCACAGGTTGTAGTCCTCACATTTGGCTCAAAATATTCAAAATTTTTTCCAGAGTTTGGCCTTTTCTTCAGCACTGGGAATTGTGATCCAAAGCTTTTCCTGATGAGGTACAAAGTTGGAGAAACAAAACGCAAACTAAGCAACAATGAAACAGAACAGAGTGAATCTGCTGTAGCTCAAGAGAGGACGTAGCTGCCCCCACCCCGCATCCCTGGGCTCGGGTTTGCCTTGCTGACCTCTGCTGCCACCTGGTGCCGCACAGAGAAACTGAGGAGAAACCACATCAGTCTCCTTCAGCCTCAGCTTCACATCTGTGGGTCAAGCAACCCTTTCAGAAGCTGTATAATGTGGGAAAGCTTTCCTCTCAGGAAAATGCACACATCCAACTTTGAGAAGATGCCCTTGGGGGTGCTTCAAGGATCCTAGATAATAACCCCCTTTCCCGAACATCCAAGAACCTAAGTTTTTTTTTTTTTTTTTGAGAAAGTCTCGCTCTCTCTCCCATTCTGGAGTGCAGTGGCGTGATCTTGGCTCACTGCAAGCTCCACCTCCCAGGTTCAAGCCATTCTCCTGCCTCAGCCTCCCAAGTAGCTGGGGCTACAGGCACCTGCCACCACACCCGGCTAATTTTTTTGTATTTTTAGTAGAGACGGGGTTTCACCGTGTTAGCCAGAATCGTCTTGATCTCCTGACCTTGTGATCCACCCGCCTCGGCCTCCCAAAGTGCTGGGATTACAGGTGTGAGCCACCACACCTGGTCCAAGAACCCAACTTTTAGATCTAGAGTGATGTCAGCATGACATTGATTTCCTGAGGCCCAGGGGTGAAGGAGCTGAGGACAGCAGAGGGGTGAAGGAAGTCAGCTACAGACAGCAGCAGCTGATGCACAGGCCTCCCAGCGCCTGAAGTCACCCGGAATTGGGAAGTGCTCAGAAGCTTACAAAGCTGCCTCGAGGTGGGAACACAACATTAATCCAAGAGCAGATCCCTGATCCTATAAAAATGTACTAGATGCAGTGGGGGCATTTTAAATGAGCAGGGAAGGACAGACAGATAAACAGAAGGACAAACAGTATTGGGATTGGGATAAATGCTCAGCTTTTGCCCAAATCTTAGTGACTTAAGCATCACTTATTTGCTCACGATTCTGTGGCTGGACCATTTGGTTTGGCTCACAGGGCAGGGACTGTGCTGGTCTTACCTGAGCAGACCTGCATGTCTGCGGTCAACTGGGTTGGCAGAGACAGAGTGACTGTCTTCCTCCAGGAAGCAGCAGGTTAACTGGTTGGCAGAGACAGAGGGACTGAGGGACTGTCTCCCTCCAGGAAGCAGCAGGTTAACTGGTTGGCAGAGACAGAGGGACAGAGGGACTGTCTTCCTCCAGGAAGCAGCAGGTTGGCTCTGGTTCCTTCGTGGGGCAGCTGGTCTCCAGGGCAGCAAGAGAGACCAAGCCCCCGTGCACATTCTACAGCCTCTGTGCACATCAGACTTGTTAATATCCCATTGGCCAGTGCAAGTCACACGGCCAAGCCCAGATTAAGGAGTGGAAAGATGGACGCTATCTCCTCCTGGGAGAGGAGGCAAAGGAGGTGAGAGCATTATGTGGCCACTTATGTTTGCAATCTACCATACTTAGCCCTTTGAGAAAAGAATTAACTGAGAAACTTGCTTCAAATAGGGCATTCAGTAAAATGAAGCCCCAATTGAAGTAAAATGCATATATAAAAAATGAAACTGTGACCGATTTTAAGGACAGTATTGGCAAATATTTCTGTGCTCTTGGAGGAGAAGACCCTTATTGGCATGACGTGTCAGAAACCACAATGAAAGAATTATTTTAACTTGCATTCATAAAAATTAAAATTATTCATTAAAAACATCGTGAATGAAATTAAAAGTCAAAATGTAAGCCAGAAAATTATTTACAACATATGTGTCAGGAAAAGACAATACCCTTCAGACTTTGAGAGTTTACATCAGAAAGAAAATAGCAAATGACATGATCCAAACTTGATAAAGGACATGAAAAAGAGCCAGCACTTAGTATGTTTTCTGAATGAATAAGTAGCCAACAGCACATGAAAATGTGTGTAATCCACTTGTAAGCAGAGAAATGCAAATTAAAACAGTAAAGTGTCATTTTCACTTCCTGGATTGGCAAAGGGTTTTATGTATTTTACTGACAGTGCTCAACATTAGCAGTAAACAACAAATGGTGAGTAAATATGAGCTTCGGAACCTCAGGGAAATGATCTCCTTATTTCAACCTGTAGATTCCTTCCTACAACCAGTGTAGAGCAGAGTACCAGGACGGGCCATTGAGCACCCTGGTGTTGAGAGCAAGTGGCCTCTAGTCAGAGTTGGGTCAGGGCCACTGTGAGTGGGCTGCCCCCAACATGAGTCAGCTGTCTAGGACTAGTTTATCTCTGCTTCTCACTTTACTGGTATTATGGGGCAGCTCCTGCTGTCTTCCAATTTGGTGTCTTCCAAATCGGCACCGTCTTTTAAAGTTGAGTTTCTTGTTATTCTCACCTGATATACCTTATTTATCCCACACCCACCCCAATAACATATCGTGCTCAGTGTTATCTTTGAGACAACACTTGAATTTTACTCAGCCTGGCGTGCTCTTCACATGTCTTGTCTAGATCCAGTTCGGACTCATTCTTCAGCCGTGCATCAGTAAATGGGGGCTAGGTTAAACTGTGGTGACAAACAACCTCCAAATTTCAGTGGCTCAAAAATCTTCTTCCTCATTTATTTACATTTCATCATGGGTCAGGTGAGAGGTAGCTCTGTGCCGTGTCATCCTAACACAGGAATCCAGACAGAAGGAGGGACAATCAGTAAGATCCCCATTGCTATAGAAAAGAGAAAAAAGTATGCGGAATAGAACTCTGTTTCTTGGAGATTTCTCCTGAAAAAGTCACATGTTATTTCTTCTCACCTCCATTGGCAAAAAAAAAGTCATGTGGCCATGTGAAAATGTAAGTAGGCGGGATGGAACAGTCAGAATGCATTCATAAAATATGAACTGAAAATATCTGGAGAACAGCACCTATGACTACCACGAATGCCAACATGCATCCCTAACAACCCAGTGCTGTCACCCTCCAAACTTTTTATGTCTTGCAAAGTATTAGAACTTCTTATCTGAAGCCATACCACTCAGAGGGAATGCAAAATACATATTGACATCTCCTTTAGGATGTCCTTAGAGAATTCAAGGAAAAGAAGTTAAATAATTTAAAAGTGCTTTTGGGTACAGCTATTTAGCACTAGAGGGTAAGATTAGACATAGATTGTAAAGATAATAATAGGGTTAGGGATAGGATTAGGATCTGGGTCAGAGTCAGGGCCAGAAGTATGGTTAGAGGTGGGGTCATGGTCAGGGTCGAGATCAAAGTCAGGGTCAGAATTAGGGACCAGGATAGGGATCAGGATTTAGGTTCAGTGTCAAAGTCTTGGGACAAGGTTAGGGTTAGAATTAGAACCAGAGCTTTGTTCTCCTCAGGACCCACCCGAGGGTGGGTCACCATGGCTTTGGAGCCCCTGGTAGTGTGGCGTGTCCACAGTGAAGACCAGAGTTTCATTGTCCTTAAGACTGACCTGGGGAGACGTGGCTGCAGGCCATTGAGGAAGGTGAGGAAAAACTTCCTGTCTGCTCCCCGTGTGCTGAGGAGGGAGCTCTGCCGTGGGCTTTACTTTCACATGTTATATTCCACAAGTCTTGTTTTACAAAAGCATCCCTTCCTTGAGGCTTCGGCTGCTCATCGCTGCTCATCATCATAGCGTGCCATAACATATAGTAAGATTTGGGTTTGTTTCTGGGGAGAGATCTTGGTATAGAGAAAGGAGAAATGCTTAGAGCCACCATCAGGACAGTTGGGATGAAAGTTGGGTATAGGCAGAGGCTGGAGGAAACATGTGCATCCCCTGTAAACACTTTTATTCATGTTTTAATTACTCATTTTTCTTACAGTGTTAAATTAGTAAAGATAGTATTGAAAAATTGAAAAGTAGGCATATTAAAACCTGCAACACTATTTAAGCTTAGATATATTATTTGTACCTCATCAACATTTTTTATTTTGTTGAGAAAGTTTAAGGTTAATTGACAGCATATTTCTAATAGTAGATAGAATAACATCCCTTTTATAAACATTGACATCCTACATTACATGTGTGAACCCTGAAAATCTGAGACAGCTCTCAGATTTTTTAGAAAGTTTATTTTGCCAATCTTGAGGATGTGCACCTGTGATGCCTCCTCAGGAGATCCTGACAACATGGGCCCAAGGTGGTCGGGGCACAGCTTGGTTTTATACACTTTAGGGAGACACGAGAGATCAATCAATATGTGTAAGATGTACATTGGTTCAGTCCAGAAAGGTGAGAAGGCCAGACAGGGGGCTTCCAGGTCACAGGTAGGTAAGAGACAAATGGTTTCATTCTTTTGCATTGCTGATTACCCTCTCCACGTGAGGCAATCAGGTATGCATTTATCTCGGTGATCAGACGGGTGTCTTTGGATAGAATGGGAGGCGGGTTTGCCCTAGGCAGTTCCCAGCTTGACTTTTCCCTTTAGCTTAGTGATTTTGGGTCCCCAAGATTTATTTTCCCTTCGTAAGTGTTCCTATGAGTATTAATTATTCATTGTGTCTTTTATTACACAAATAAGGCACAGATTTTTAAGAAATCATCAACTTCATGGCTACCTATATAGACATAATTACATAGAAGCTCAACTAAATTTGCAAACATTCCAGAGTTTGGGTTTCCAATAATTCTTTGTGATTCTTTAAAAGGTAAAGTATTTTTTCCCATAAAACATAGCAACATTTAAAATCAACCGTAGAATGTCCTGCCATTTTTGTTTCTCTAGTTTCCTCATTTTCTGCAAAGCCTCACTGAGGAAATTGACTTTGAATATCCTTTTAGACTCTTGTTTTAGAAAGCATTGTGGTAAAACATTGAATCATCGTGGTCACAAGTTCTGTTCACATTCTTTCTTTCTTTGAATATTTTTTCCCAGTGGCCAATATTTGATTCTGTTGTATCATGGCTAAAAGGTAGGCATGGCAACAAAATAAAGACAAGAAGTCTTTGGAATAATTGATCCCATCACAATGAATCAATTTGCCATTGGAACATGTTTTTACAAAGTCACTCTTTTGAAAATATTCAGCTATGACTTGAAACAGAGTCTGTATGGTTAATATTTTTCCTGGTCTAAGATGAACAGCATTTTAGAGAATGAACCCAGGACACAACCACAGCACAAGAAAAACATGTGATAATTAAGTTTACACATGTGTGTTACTACAGTAACAGAAAACATGTAAAGAACATTTGATTTATGTATCAGTCTGCACTGTTTAATTTTTTGTGTCATAATTGCTCTTATTTTAAAAAACAGGACTAGTTAACAGTGTCAATTACTAGTAATTCATGGTATAAATAATTAAACAAGGAAGTGTTAAAAAAAGTGTTTTAAATAAAGTTTTATTTTACGTCTTTTTTTTACTTACACAGAAATCGTCAAAAAAAAAAAAAGCAGAGATTTCCCATGTAGCCGCAACCTAGTTTCCTCTCTTATTAACATCTTCTATCAGTGTGTCTCACATGGCTTATTAATATCTTACATAATTTGCCGCAGTTAATGAACCAATACTGATAGACTGTTATTAACTAAAGTTCATATTTCATTTGGATTCCCTTAGTTCTATCTTACTCTGACCCAGGATCCCATCCAGGATCCCACACGACATGTAGTCATCACATAGGCTCTTCCTGGCTGTGACAGTGTGTTAGGCTTTCCATCTCATGATGACCTTCATAGCACTGAGGAGGACTGGTCAGGAATGTTGTAGAATGTCCCCCATTGTCACTTCATGTTCTCAAGGTGAACTGTCACCTTTGATGTTCACTTGGATCATTTGGCAGAGCTAATGTTTGTCAGGTTTCTCCACTGTGAGGTTATTTCTCCTCCTTGTCCGCACTGCATGTGTTCTTTTGGAGCAAGTCACTATGCAGAGCCTCACTCCGTCAGGAGTTGGCTCCACCTTCTTGACGGCTGAGTGTCTACATCAATTATTTGGAATTCTTTTGCAAAGGAGATTTCTATGCAACTCCATTTGCTTATTCACCTAGGTATACAAATACAGACACCTAGATAATTACCTTAAGCTTTAGTTATTATTCAACACTACAGTATTATGTTGCACAATTCATTCCTGTGTTGGCCATCAGTAGCTGTTTTTATTGGCTCTTATTTTTCTTTGATATGTTTTAATTTTTTTGTACTTACTTTCTGATACTTCCAGATTATCCTGGCTCCTATATTTACTGTCCCAGTTCTAGTATCAGACATTTCTTCAAAGAGCCTGATTCCTTTCAGAATGGTAGGAAAACTTACATCTGGCTGCTGAATGAGCACATTGTATCTTCTCCCTCATTGGCAATGCTAGGAAGTATATGTGTGTGTCTAACCTACCTATACACACCTAATTATAAAGTTTTCTATGTAGAACTGTGTGTGTCTATATTAAACTAAACATAAGTTTACATTGATGTCTCCACCTCTGATCTACTATCACATGAATCATTCTAGCCTTCTCGCCTTGCTAATTTGTAACCTCCCACTTCAACAGTAAGAAACCTGGTTCCCACCATCTGCGACTTATGTAAGTCATTGTTTTATTCCAGATACAGACACTGTGGTTTTACAATTGTTCACAATTGCTTCTGTTGGAAAGAACTTTATAAAATGGAATCCAATAATGAAGTATAGTTCATGTGCCTTCAGCCTACAGATTCTTTTCATTTTCAAAGTTTTTACCTAGATTTGTGTCTCAGTCCATTTTGTGCTTCTGTAACAGAATACCTGAGGCTGCGTAATTTATAAGTAAAAAAGTTTCATTTGTTTGACAATACTGGTGGCTGGAATGTGTGAGATTGGGCAGTTGCATCTGGCGGGGCCTCAGTCTTTTTCACCTCATGGTGGAAAGTGGAAGGGGAGCAAGGGGTGCACCAGAGATCACACAGCAGAAGTGAAAGCAAGAGGGAAGCCAAGGAAGCCAGACTCTTTTTAATTACCTACTCCTGCAGGAATTATCTATTCCTGTGAGAACAGAACTCACTCACCCCCATGGAGGACATTAATCTATTCATGAGGGATCCGTCCCCACGACCCAAACACCATCCACTAGGCCCCACCGCCCCACACTGACGCAGTGGGAGTCAAATTTCAACATGAGTTTTTGTGGGGACAAACCACATCCAAACCATAGTAATTTGTAGCATAAATTCTTTTTCACATGATGTATTCTGTCCTGGGATACTCCACATCCTGAGTAATTGGATTTAATTTGAATAGAGTTTGCTTTAACCATTTGGCTGTAAAATTCTGCGTATTTCGACAAATGCATTGTGGCAGATATCCCACTATTAAAGTATCATATGGAATGCCTCAAACCCCCACCCCATGGAGCCAATGGCTTCCCATCTGTGTAGTTTGCCTTCTCCAGTGTCTCATTAAATGAGGTCACACTGTGTGTATCCTCCTCAGACTGTCTTCTTCCACTTAGCAATGTGCATGCAAGATTCACTCATGTCTTTGTGTGTGTTGATATCTTGTTCCTTTCTATGGCTAAATAGTATTCCATTACATGAATGTAGCACAATTTGGTTATGCATTTTGGGGAGCAGAACCTTCCTCTTCTAACTTTGTTCCAGGGTTGGAGACCTTCAAATTAACTGACACTAGATACATTAGTAGGAGAGACAATACTTGGCTTCTTGTTCCCCAAGTATCATTGTGGGACAAAATTCATCAGATGGCAGGATCCAGTTTACAAAGAGGTAAAAATAGCCCAGAAACAAGAAACAAGACTAGAATCTGATAACTCACAATGGCTATAGTTTTCCTTTAAAAAATTTTTTTTTGAGACAGGGTCTGGCTCTGTCACCCAGGCTGGAGTGCAAAGGTGCAATCTCAGCTCACTGCAACCTCTACCTCCTGGGTGCAAACGATCCTCCCTCCTCAGCCTCCTGATTACCTGGGACACAGGCACATGCCGTCATGCCCATCTAATTTTTGTATTTTTGGTAGAGACGGGGTTTCACCATGTCGCCCAGGCTGATGTTGAACTCCTGGCCTTCCAAAGGGCTGTAATTATAGGCATGTGCCACCATGCCCGGCTGTGTTATACTTTTCCTTTGAAAGATAAAATTTCTCTCTGTAGTAACCATCATTTTTGATCATAATCAAAGTAAGACTATTCTTGTTTTAAAAATAAGTCTAGTTTTGTTAGATTTTGCTTGATTATTTACGTAAGTGCAGCAAGAACAGGAGATGACCACGTAGGTGCTTTCAGGTTTCTTTGCTGGAAGTTTTCATACAGAATCTCAGATTTGACTTTTAAAGGCCTTATTCAGGCTAAAAGCCAAGCCAAGAACATGCTATCAAATTTCAGCTGCAGTCCTTATAGCTTTGTGTGAATTCCTCTCTTCTTGAGGCCCCAAAATATCCCTAAATTCCTGGGCCTACCAGGAAATGACCTTCCTTACTAACCTATAAGGCTGTGAACCCTGTAATCTAGGTATCAGGCTGGGTTTTCTCAGAGTGCTGTTGGGAATGAAGTTTTTTATGTTCCCCCCCCCAAAAAAAGAACTAACATGGGAACAAATGATCTCTTAGCAAGGCGAGCTTTATTTTTCTGCACAAAGGGTGCTACTCAATAGCTGTCCAGCTACAAGAGCACACCAAACAAAGGAGACAGAGTTACTTATAACCTGACGTGTCTACCCTACTGCTGTGTCCAGTTTCCATTGGCTGGAATAGGACCTCCCATTTTACACTTTACCCGATTGGCTGTTTGTTTAAAACTTTCTTAATTAGGTAAGGGGAATAGAAGAAAGAAAGAAAAGGAAGTTGCCCAGGGATAGTTAAGGAAGCATCTCCAAATAAGGAATGGCATGCAGTATGGGCTGGGGCTTGTCTAGTTCTGTCCAGGCATGCTGGAGCAAGCTAGGACAAGTGATTTGGAACACACACACACACACACACACACACACACACACACACACATATAAAAATAGTGGGTAGTTGTGACTTTATAATCTTTGAGGAAGAACTTTCCTCAAAGTTTTCCACAGTGCTTTGTAAGCATTGTCTCCATAAAAGTGAACCTTACTTCCTTAAAATTGCTGGTCATAACTGATCTTAGGTACACTTCCTAATTATGATGTTCCAGTAAAAACCTTGATAATATAACCAAAATTTCCAATTATGTCCTGTTATAAGGTGAATAGATTCTTATTGGACTTTTGCTAACAACTATATCATCGTGGAAATAAGAGTATTCAGTAAGGATTTCAAAATTCTGGAAAAATCAGGCAAGAAAAAAAGATAAACGCTTCATTTCTGTTTACAAAAGTATAATCTACTAAATTGTTGTAAGTTACAGTTAGAGTAAGAGAAAGAGATTTCTTAAATCCAGAAACTAGAATATTAACCAGCAATGCTCCAAAAAGCTATACAATTATAATCAATTTTCATCAGTTCATTCAGTGCCATGTAATCAATTCCAGTCTTGTGGATCTTGAGTTAGCAGTGTCATGAACCCATCAGTTTCCCAACCGGACTTCTGGAGACCTTAACTGAGTCAAGTGTATGGTCTTAAAGTTATTTAAGCAATATCATCAGAAGCCTATAACCAGAGTACCTGTCATAGTCTTTTCTGTGAGTCTCAGAGGGAGTCCTGTCTTGGAGACGAACATTCTGACCTGTAGTTGATTGCAGGAGCTTTCAGGAAAGCATCAGGGGGAAATAATATCTAAATGACAAAAAGTATGAAATGGCTGTGATGAAAGATCTGATGAGAGTTCATTATACCACAACTGACAAGGATATTCGATTTTTTCTGTGGCAGACAACATTTATTTATTTCTTTATTTAGAGACAGAGTCTTGCTCTGTCGCCCAGGCTGGAGTGCAGCGGTGCGATCTGGGCTCACTGCAAGCTCTGTCTCTTGGGTTCACGCCATTCTCCTGCCTCAGCCTCCTGAGTAGCTGGGACTACAGGTGCCTGCCATCACGCCGGGCTAATTTTTTATATTTTTAATAGAGATGGAGATTCACCGGGTTAGCCAGGATGGTCTGGATCTCCTGACCTTGTGATCCACCCGCCTCAGCCTCCTAAAGTGCTGGGATTATAGGCATGAGCCACTGTGCCTGGCACAACATTTAAAGTAATAATTGGAATTATGACTCATTACTCTATAGTGGCACATAGCATGGATAAGGAGGACATTGACAAACTTCCAGGAATTTTATATAATTTCTGAAAACATAACATTTTACCCATACAAATATAACACAGGGAAGGTTAGGTATCTCTTTTTATTTGTATCTTCTGTATGGTTTTCCTTATAAAAAATGCAACCTACTTTACTTGCGAAACATGCCCTACTTTTCTTGCATGCTTTGCATAGTTTCTAGTTATTCTATTATTTCTAGTAGTTTTATTTACATATATTGATTATAATTTTAATACTTAGTAATCTTTTATTTTCCAGAGAAAACTAGGAAGTAGACAGTTATAAACTGTCATATATTAGCATTCTATAGTAGGTTAGAAAATGTATGAATATACCATCTCCCAACATCTAGAGGGATGTGTTTCCTCATAATACAATTCCTCAGTGTGGCAGAAAAAAACATGTTTATTAACGGGCCAAAATATCTTTAGTCTCTCTGTAAAAATAGGAAGCCAAAAGTACATAAACTTGAATTATTTATGTTCAGTAATTAATGTTTTAGTATTGTATCTTATTTATAAATGATCTAGATATTTAATGCAAATCTTTTACTTAGCTTAACTTTAAGGTTAAAAATTACCAAAAGTACTTTGGAAACTATTCTTAGGCAGATTTACTGTAAACAAATTATTTTTGAAATAATGTTTTTCGCTTTTCACAAGATGGCACCAAAAGCGAAGGAAGCTCCTGCTCCTCCTAAAGCCGAAGCCAAAGCGAAGGCTTTAAAGGCCAAGAAGGCAGTGTTGAAAGGTGTCCGCAGCCACACGCAAAAAAGAAGATCCGCATGTCACTCACCTTCAGGCGGCCCAAGACACTGCGACTCCGGAGGCAGCCCAGATATCCTCGGAAGAGTACCCCCACGAGAAACAAGCTTGGCCACTATGCTATCATCAAGTTTCCGCTGGCCACTGAGTCGGCCGTGAAGAAGATAGAAGAAAACAACACGCTTGTGTTCACTGTGGATGTTAAAGCCAACAAGCACCAGATCAGACAGGCTGTGAAGAAGGTCTATGACAGTGATGTGGCCAAGGTCACCACCCTGATTTGTCCTGATAAAGAGAAGAAGGCATATGTTCGACTTGCTCCTGATTATGATGCTTTCGATGTTGTAACAAAATTGGGATCACCTAAACTGAGTCCAGCTGGCTAACTCTAAATATATGTGTATCTTTTCAGCATAAAAAAATAATGTTTTTCATAAGAATGACAACTTAATTAGAATCAAATCTATAAGCTTTAAGATTTTATGTTTCTAGTAAGTATAATATTAGCTTATTTGACTAGAACTCAAGCAGAATAGGAATTTATGCTTGTTTTATATTCAATAATAATTTTGAAGATACAGTTGTTTTATTACACCAAAAATACTATATTAATCTTATTTAACTAAGTTTTATCCAAATCATGTTAACTTAAGAAACATTTGATCAGTTCCTATATTTCTAGGAGTTTGGTGAATATTTATTTATAAATGCTTATTTTTTTCCAAGCCAAGTTAGAATAGAGCACTTTTAGAGGATTTCATAAATGAATTTTGCAATGCTCTCTGGAGTTAAGAAAATATCACATATACATAACATACATTAATAGATACACAAACACAAATAGAGATTTCATAGCTTTCATCCTGAAATTTCAGCCATGAATCAGGCATAAATATTCTGATGGTTAATTTCAGACATCTACTTGATCGGATTGAGAGACACACATAGCTGGTCAAACACGATTTCAGCCATGAATCAGGCATAAATATTCTGATGGTTAATTTTAGACATCTACTTGAGTGGATTAAGAGACACACATAGCTGGTCAAACACAATTTCAGCCATGAATCAGGCATAAATATTCTGACGGTTAATTTTAGACATCTACTTGATCGGATTGAGAGACACACATAGCTGGTCAAACACGATTTCAGCCATGAATCAGGCATAAATATTCTGATGGTTAATTTTAGACATCTACTTGAGTGGATTGAGAGACACACATAGCTGTTCAAACACGATTTCAGCCATGAATCAGGCATAAATATTCTGTGGTTAATTTTAGACATCTACTTGAGTGGATTGAGAGACACACATAGCTGGTCAAACAATTTCAGCCATGAATCAGGCATAAATATTCTGACGGTTAATTTTAGACATCTACTTGAGTGGATTGAGAGACACACATAGCTGGTCAAACACGATTTCAGCCATGAATCAGGCATAAATATTCTGTGGTTAATTTTAGACATCTACTTGAGTGGATTGAGAGACACACATAGCTGGTCAAACAATTTCAGCCATGAATCAGGCATAAATATTCTGACGGTTAATTTTAGACATCTACTTGAGTGGATTGAGAGACACACATAGCTGGTCAAACACGATTTCAGCCATGAATCAGGCATAAATATTCTGACGGTTAATTTTAGACATCAACTTGACTGGATTAAGGGACACACATAGCTGGTCAAACACGATTTCAGCCATGAATCAGGCATAAATATTCTGACGGTTAATTGTAGACATCTACTTGACTGGATTGAGAGACACACATAGCTGGTCAAACACGATTTCAGCCATGAATCAGGCATAAATATTCTGATGGTTAATTGTAGACATCTACTTGACTGGATTGAGAGACACACATAGCTGGTCAAACACGATTTCAGCCATGAATCAGGCATAAATATTCTGACGGTTAATTTTAGACATCAACTTGACTGGATTAAGGGACACACATAGCTGGTCAAACACGATTTCAGCCATGAATCAGGCATAATATTCTGATGGTTAATTTTAGACATCTACTTGAGTGGATTGAGAGACACACATAGCTGGTCAAACATGATTTCAGCCATGAATCAGGCATAAATATTCTGATGGTTAATTTTAGGCATCTACTTGAGTGGATTGAGAGACACACATAGCTGGTCAAACAATTTCAGCCATGAATCAGGCATAAATATTCTGATGGTTAATTTTAGACATCTACTTGAGTGGATTGAGAGACACACATAGCTGGTCAAACAATTTCAGCCATGAATCAGGCATAAATATTCTGACGGTTAATTTTAGACATCTACTTGAGTGGATTGAGAGACACACATAGCTGGTCAAACACGATTTCAGCCATGAATCAGGCATAAATATTCTGACGGTTAATTTTAGACATCAACTTGACTGGATTAAGGGACACACATAGCTGGTCAAACACGATTTCAGCCATGAATCAGGCATACATATTCTGATGGTTAATTGTAGACATCTACTTGACTGGATTGAGAGACACACATAGCTGGTCAAACAGGATTTCAGCCATGAATCAGACATAAATATTCTGATGGTTAATTGTAGACGTCTACTTGACTGGATTGAGAGACACACATAGCTGGTCAAACACGATTTCAGCCATGAATCAGGCATAAATATTCTGATGGTTAATCGTAGACGTCTACTTGACTGGATTGAGAGACACACACAGCTGGTCAAACACGATTTCTGGGCATATCTATGAGGGTGTTTCTGGAAGACACTGAGATAACCATGACCCAATGTGGATGGGCACTGATATGGTTTGGCTGTGTCCCCACCCAGATCTCATCTTGAATTGTAGTTCCTGTAATACCTACATGTCGTGGGAGGGACCCAATGGGAGGTGACTGAATCATGGTGGTGGTTACCGCCATGCTGTTCTCATGACAGTGAGTGAGTTCTCATGATCTGATGGTTTTATAAGGGGCTTTTCCCCTTTGGCTCAGCACTTCTTGTTGCTGCCATGTGAAGAGGGATAGCTTTGCTTCCCCTTCTGCCATGATTGTGAGGCCCCTGCAGCCATGTGGAACTGTCAGCCCATTAAACCCCTTTGTTCTTTATAAATTGCTCAGACTCAGATATTTCTTCATAGCTGTATAAAAATGGATGAATACAGGCAGCATCCAATTGGTTGAGAGCCCAGATAGAATAACAAGGAAGAGGAAAGGTGAATTATCTCCTTCTGAAATGGAAACATCCTTCTTCTCCTGCCCTTGACATCAGAACTTCAGGGTCTCAGACCTTTGGCCTCACAATCAGAGTTACACCATTGGCTTCCCCGATTCTGAGTCCTTTGTATCTGGAGTGAGCCATGCTACCAGCTTTCCTGGTTCTCCAACTTGGAGACAGGCTATTGTGGAACTTCTCAGCCTCCATAATTATGTGAACCAGTTCCCCTAATGAATCTTCTCTCATCTGTCTACATATATCCTATTGATTCTGCCTTTCTGGAGACCCCTGACTAATGTGATTACAATAACTACACAATTCACTAGTTTATATAGAAGACTTGGTTTTTGTCTTTGCCCCATTTTATATTTGTATTATAACTATGTATCTGGAAAATGGAACAAGTTTTTTCTTCTTCATATGAGGGCTAAGGCTTTTTTCTCACCAATATTTTTGGAGATTTTAAAGATTTTCTTTTTTTTTGACATAGAATCTTATGGAGGCTGAGAAATAATTTTTTTTCTATTTTATTCTTCAGCCCCAGGTGTTTGCTTTTGCAGATTCTTGAGCACATTGAGAGCCTCCAAGGCATGGAGTGGGGTGCCTGAAGTTTCAGTGATTATAGGGAGTTGAGAGACTCAACTGGGAAAGGAAAGGTCTAAAAGGAGGCAATTTGGAAGATAAAAATTTTCTCAAAGGAGCCATTAAAGTTGTAAATAATTCTTAGTAAAGTCATGCAAACAGGAAAAGAAGTAGAATTAGTTCCATATTGGTGGAACACATAGTCAGCAGAGGTTTGAGAAGGGAGAATTTAGTGAAGTGAGAAGTTCCCATGAAAGCAGCAAGATCAAGATCACAGACACCTTGAAACAAAAAGCCAGGAATAACTTCCAACCCAAGAGGAGAACAGAGAGGCCTCAAAACCAAAGCTAGGATAAGAAACTTGTAGCCCAAGAGTTATCTTCCAGACAAAGAAGCCTGAGATTCCAACGCAGCTTCAGAGAGTGCTCACTCAAAATGTTACTAAAACTGTAGGCTTTTTAATGACTTAGCCATGCCTGCAAAAGGCATTCCCTAAGGTGGCACAGAAGACGGAGCCCCCATATCCAAAGATAGCCAAGGAGAAAGAAAGACCCCTGTTGCCAGAGCCAGTGGGCAAAGGCAACAGAAAAGGAGACAAGGGTCCTAATGGGATGAGATCCTTTCGGATTTAGGCTTTTATACAAACTCCTGAGAACTGGCAGGTTGACAGCCATAAATGGGGTACCAAACTTTCTACTCATTGGATTACAAGTTCTCAGGCATCCAGAATGATGAACAAAATGACAATTTCTAGGGCTTCTGTGGGAGAGTATGGAAAGGTCTTTTTGAACCTTTTAATGCTGTGAACGGAAGAATGATGAGGTTCATAAATTTGGAAAGGAGACATTTCTTCATTTTTATGCTTATTTTTATTTTTTTTGAGACAGAGTTTCACTCTTGTTGCCCAGGCTGGAGTGCAATGGCATGATCTTGGTTCACTGCAACCTCCACCTCCTGGGTTCAAGCGATTCTCCTGCCTCAGCCTCCTGATTAGCTGGGATTACAGATGCCCACCACCACACCTGGCTAATTTTTTGCAGTTTTGGTAGAGACAGGATTTCATCATGTTGGCCAGGCTGGTCTGAAACTCCTGACCTCAGGTGATCCACCCACCTCGGCCTCCCAAAGTGCTGGGATTACAGGCATGAGCCACCCACCCAGTGAGAGATTTATTTTCTATAAAGGGTTGTAGCCTGCAGGGTTGTCCTTCTGACAGGCTGGGAAGCATAGCCTCCAGCCAGAAGCCAGAAACAGATGCTTCAAGGAGGAGGTAAAGGAAATAGCAACTTATGCTGAGTGGAATGGCCAAATAGATTTATTTAATAAGCTCTAGGAGGAGTCATGAATATTTATGGAAGGAGAAATGCATGCACGCACAATTGAGTTTCTTGCTTCTTCATGGGTCCCATGTACAAAAAATGGCAGTGTTAGCATGATCCCAGGGTGGAGTTTTCAGCCCTCTGACATTAAAAGGTGAAGTAGAGGACATGAAAACTTGCTCTGTGCATCCTCTGTACGCTGGCCAGAACCTCTCCATCGTGGGTGGTCTCTTATCAGGGAAGAAAGGAGAGGTTGATATCAGTGGTGGAGGCTTTGAAAGGGCTGGTTTCTGTTAAATCCTTAGGGAAGAAAGCCTCATCATGGTTAGCAAAGGAGGGGGTATAACGATGTGTATCTTAACCCCATCATCCCATCCTAGCAAAGCTGAGAACTCAGTTTTGAAAGTTACTCTGGGGTCCCCTCAGCCAAGAGTGGGTCTGTTCAGTCAGTTGGGAGCTTAGAATTTAATTTTCATTTATCAATGCTAATGGGAAAGAGTACGCTGTCTTCATGGCAGCTGAATTTGCAAGAAACTCCTTGGATGGGGTTAATGGCAGCTGTATTTTTCTGGGAGCTGTGCTTTAATTGGATAAAGTAAGTTCTGGTAAGATTTCTTCATCTTCAGTATCTCAAATGTTTTCATTTAAATAATCTTTATAACAACTTTTGATGTCTGAGTGGATTCCCACACAGTCATCTATTGTAAGACTTTCTGATTCCTTTTTTTTCCTTTGGTCATTATGAATAGGGCTTCTGTAAATAACTGCATGGTAGCTTTTGATGGGAAATAACATCAAAGTAGTTGTCAAAATACCTAGGAATGTTATTTTTGGATTGTAAGGTGAGACTTGTTTAGCTTTGGAAAAAAATGCCCAACTTGTAATAGGGGAGGAAAAATAATTTTCTGTTTTTGGAATTCTTAGATGGAACGCTCTGTAAAAACTGACAGATTAAAATGAGAAAAAGAGAAAAGTTTAAAAACATGTATATCTTATGGTTACATGGGAGATACTCAGGGAAAAATGAGTAAATCTCCAACAGGTGGCTTTCAATTCAAGCATAAATACTATCTTCAACTTAAAGAAAGAAGATTTGAGGTGCAGTAGTGGGGAGTTAACCAGCAAAAGCACATTAGACAAGGGTAAGGTTCGTTATACAGACTTAAGTCCATGCATTCTCCATTGATAAGACTCTTCAGTGATTTAGTTATCCTTCTCTTCTTGGTGTTGAGAGAGGTAGCTTTTAAATGGTGATTTCCTTTATAGATGTAAATTTTCCTTACACAAGTAACTTCTACTTTATTTTCACAACTTCCTTTGTTAGCATTTTTTTTTTCCAAAATAATTAGCTTGGAATAATTCTTAAGCCAAAGGGACATATTTTGGGGTTGCATATTCTGGTTTCCTACCATTATATTTTGGGGTGGCATAGTTTGGTCTTATACACTGTGTTCCACTGGCAATGAAAAGAGTTCTTGTTTTTCCTCCAGCAATTTGTCATTTGTTAAAGAGCTTAGCAGTTCTAAGAGATATAGACCAGCTGTGCTATCTTTTTGTGGTTTTCAGTTCTCTAGTATGTTGAGCATCTTTTTGTAAGTGTACTTGCCATCTGTAGATCTTCTTTGGTGAAGTGTCTGTTCAGATCTGTGTGCATTTTTAATTGGGTTGTTTAACTTATTGTTTAGTTTTAACAATTTTTTATATATTTTGAATACAAATTCTCAGATCTGTATTTTGCAAATATTTTCTTCAATATGTGGCTTGTGTTTTTGTTCTCTTGACAAGGTCTCTTCCAGAGTATAAACTGTAAATATTAAGAAATCCACATTGTCATTTCTTCTGTGTATATCAACCTTCTGTGTCATTTGTTAAAATTCATTACCAAACGCAAAGGCACACAGCTTTTCCTCTATAGTTTCTTCTAGAAATTGTATAGTTTTGCATTTTTAGTGTAAGGATGATTTTGAGTGATTATTTGTGTAAGTTGTAAAGTTTTCATCTACATGTGAGGGTGAGGGTGAGGGTGAGGGTTAGGGGTTAGGGGTTAGGGGTTAGGGCTAGGGCTAGGGCTAGGGCTAGGGCTAGGGCTAGGGTTTAGGGTTAGGGTTAGGGTTAGGGTTAGGGTTAGGGTTAGGTTAGGGTGAGGGTGAGGGTGAGGGTGAGGGTGAGGGTGAGGGTGAGGGTTTAGGGTTGGGGTTGGGGTTGGGGTTGGGGTTGGGGTTGGGGTTAGGGTTAGGGTTAGGGTTAGGGTTAGGGTTAGGGTGTGGGTGTGGGTGTGGGTGTGGGTGTGGTGTGTGGGTGTGGGTGTGGT
>NW_013171814.1:300000-407387 GCF_000001405.40 Homo sapiens
TATGTTTCAATAGCTTCAGGTATATTCAAATCTATACTATAAAGTCTATAACATTTTGTGTTATCTCTTTATTATGGATTGTATTTTTATATATAAAACCTTATAATTTTATTTAATAATTGTTATCTTAAAAATACTTCCCTTTTACTACTACTTTATTTTCATTTGCTCACTCTTGTTTTTACCCATCCATTTATTTTTTTATATCCTGTTTTCAGTTCTGCTAGTGGTTACTAGTGTTTACTTTTAGCATTTTAAAGGCATACTTTCATTTTTTTTCTCTGATTCCCAAGCTTAAGAAAGATGCAATAACCTGTGAATCCTTATGGCCTAAATTAGGAAATGTTGTGTGCTTTACAGACTTCTATCCCCTTCCCACCAGTATTTACTAATCTCTAGTAATTTAATCTTGGATTATTAAGTCACTACTACTATAAAATTCTTATTTAAATTACATTTTAAAATTAAATATCTTCTCTTCCAAGGATTATTTCTGGCTTTTGATTCCATTGTATAACCAAAATTATAATGACTTATTTTAACTTAACTTAATAAGTCTACCTGGTTGTAGTTTCAGTTTTCCCTTCTGTTTCTTCTATACCATGGTTTCCTCAGAGTTAAATCATAAATTTTGTTGGCCATAACATGCATTCGGAAAGTTCTTTTTATTTTTTATTATTTTTAATTGTAGTTTTAAAATAACATAAAATATACTATTTCAAGCATTTCTAAGTGTACAGTTCAATAGTGTAGAGTCACATTCTCATGCAACCAGTCTCTAAAACTTCTTCATCTTGCAAGACTGAAACTCTCTACCTATTAACCCCCCATGTCCCCTGCTCCCCAGCTCCTTGTAACCACCATTCTACTGTCGTTTCTGTTTATGGGTTTGGCTACTTTAGATACCTGCATAAGTGAAATCATGCAGTATTGTCTTTTTGTGACTGGCTTATTTCACTTTGCATAATGTGCTGAGGGTTCATTCACGTTGCAGCATGTGTCAGAATTTCTTTCTGTTTTTAAGGCTGAATAGTATTCCACTGTATGTATATATCACGTATTGTTGATCCATTCATCTGTGGGTGGATGCCTGGGTTGCTCCCACCTCTTGTCAGTAATGCTACATACTGACATCTCTTTGAAATCCTGATTTCATTTCCTTTGGATATATACCCAGAAGTGGAATTGCTGGATCATATAGTAATTCTGTTTTTGATTTTTCGAAGAATCACCATACTATTTTGTTTTTTGAGATGGAGTCTCACTCTGTCCCCCAGGCTGGGGTGCAGTGGCATGATCTCAGCTCACTGCCACCTCCGCCTCCCGGGATCAAGCAGTTCTCCTGCCTCAGCCTCCCGAGTAGCTTGGATTACAGGCACCCACCACCACACCTGGCTAATTTTTTATATTTTTAGTAGAGGCGGGGTTTCACCATGTTGCTCGGGCTGGTCTCGAACTCCTGACCTCAAGCGATCGACCTGCCTTGGCCTCCCAAAGTGCTGGGATTATAGGTGTGAGCCACCGCGCCCAGCTGGCCATACTATTTTTCATAGCAACTGCAGCATTGAATTTTTTAAGATAAACATGTAGGAGTGATTTGTTTTAGAACTTGCTTATGTAAGATCTTTCTCTCGCTTTCACTCATAGGCAGGTTTGTTCTTTTCCCTTCAAACTCATGAAGACGTTGCCTTCATGTCTCTGAATTTTTAACCTCAAATAAAGAAGTATAAGGCCAACCAGATTTTTCTTCCTTTGTAAGAAGACTGTCTTTTGTTCCTTCGTAGCTGTTTTTAAATTTTTCTTTTTCTGCGAAACTAAAAAAGAAAATTCAGCGGGGGCAACGTAGACCTTGTCTCTACAAAAAAATTTAAAAGTTAGCCAGGCATAGTGTTATATGCCTGTAGTCCCAGCTACTCAGGAAGCTGAGGTGGAAGGATCACTTGAGCCTAAGAGGTCGAGGCTGCAGTGAGCCTTAATCGCACCACTGCACTGCAGCCTGGGCAACAAAGCGAGACCCTGTCTCAAAAAAAAAAAAAAAAATGAAAAAAGAAAAGAAAATTATTCCGCTAAGTAAAACTGGGGCAGGGCAAGGGACTTCCGGAACACTGTGAACACTTTTTACCCAAAGAGTCAACTCATTTTTATTATTATTTATTTTCAGTGAGAAAGTTTATTTCTCTGCTCTCTTTGTTCTGTGTATTCTGGTATGCTTTTTGAAAACTTCTCTAATTCACAGACTAGATGTCCACTCTCTATCTTCTCTATCGTTTTTCTTTTTGTTTCTAGTCTATTTATCTTTGTATTCAGCTTTCTGGTCTATTTATCTATTCTGCTCTCTAGGTGGTTTCCAAGTTTATCTTCTGCATTACTTTTTCTGCATTATCCATTCTATCCTTTACTGCCTCCAATTCATTTTGATTTTGCTGTTGGATTTCTAGTTTCCATTGGCTCTCTCCTAATCCCAGTTCCTGTCTCACACTTCATTTCAGCCTGAGAGTTGCTTAGCTAATCACAATCCCTTCCTTCGAATGCCTATTCACACATCATAGAATCTATATTGTCATTCTCCTTACATACAAGCCCACATGTTTTGCACTTGAGTTTTTCATTTTATTTATATCTGGTTGATTGTCATTAATATGTTCAGAGTTACACATTTCCATTAAGTTTTCACGACACTGCTCCTTTATTCTGCCAGGCAGGATTTTTGTGTAGATGCCATATTGCTCTGCGCCTCCCTCAATCCTGAATGAGATCACCCCTGTCTGGTCTTTTGTGTTTGCTGTGCGCATCAGCCTTGGACTAGCTTGGTGTCTGCTTAGGCAGAGTCTCCCTCTCAGACCTAAAGCTGGAGGGTGGCTTCATGAGCTCATCTCAAATCCAATTTCCAATATTTAGCAGGCATTCAATCTCCTAGTAACCTTTGCTAGCCCAAAACAGAATGCTCTCTTGATGCCATGGATGATCAGGAAGAAACTGAGTCAAGAGCTAGTTCTTTGATCAGATGCAATCTATTTTTTAAAACTTCAGTTCCTTGTACACACTGCCTCCAAGTTTTTTCCTGCCCCAGAGGGCTTTGCCTGAGAGCACCATCCCTTAAAGGACACAGCATTTCACCCAGTCTCCTCCTGCCCCTGCACTGCCCCGAATCTCCAAGGCCTGGAATAAGGGTGGTGCAGATGGGAGCTGCCTTAATACACAGGCACAGGGCTTTGCTAGTACTGACAGATACTGTCTACCAGCCAGAGACAGATAGAGGAAGGGGCTGAAGCCTCAAGCTACCCCCTGTCTTTGGTCTTCTGGGTCCCCTGGGCAACCAGAATTTGTTGGTGACAGCACTTTAGTTAATGATGTCACCTCCTGAGTCTGGGAGGAGTCTGCTGGGGAACTGTTATCTTCCTTCTCAGTGTTGCTGTGGGACTTTGTTCTTTGATGTGTGCCTTCATGGGTATTTTTAGGGAATATAAGGAAATGACAAGCTGGGGGTTGATAGAGGGGCACCATTTTAACACCCGAGTTAGCACTTGATAAAGGCCTAGAGTTGTGGTTCAGAGCCATGGTTGCACGTTAGAATCAGCTGGGGAGCTGCCAAAAATTACCAGTGTCTGAGCCCCACCCTGACCAGTTACACAAGACTTTCCGGGGTGGGGTCCCAACATCAGCAGCCTCAGAGTTCCTCCAGGTGACTCCAATGTACAACCAGGGCAAGAGCGTTTAACCCAGAGCAGAGAAGGGGCTTAATTTTTCATTCAAGTTCTAGTACTGTGTGGCCTTAGTCATGTCTTTTAATATCTTTGTGCCTTAGTTGTCCCCATTTTAAAATGAGAATGGTAATGCCCACTCTTGCTCAGATCACATAAGAATATTGTGGGATAAACAAAGGTTCATGAGAATGAAACCACCAAAAGATGTGTGACTTCAAGCCCAGTAGTGCAGGGTCCTTGGCAGGCCCTGGGGTGGCAGGCAATGTAATTCATTCATTCACAAAGACCCTGAACAGCTAGGACCCCCTGTGAACACTGCCTGCTCCAGGCTCTGGACTAGGGAGAAGAGACAAAGCTGTCAAAGATGCTGGGCACGCACTACTTGCGGGGTCCCTGGAGTCTCTTGTGGTCCCTTTTCACCCTGGGTGAAAGATAAACAGCAGAACTCTACAATCATACCCAGGTGGACAATTCAGTGAGAAAGGAGTGGGGAGGCAGGAGGCCTGAGGGGTCAATATGAGGCCCATGAGGTCTGCAGGCATGGCTGCACTTACAAGGGACCGTGTGGACAAATGGCTTCGTGGAAAGTACAGACTTGGAGAGTGACTAAGCGTGGGCTCTGATGCACTACTTTCCAATTTAAAAACACCATAAGAGCTGCTCTTGCCACAAAAACAAACAAAACAAAAATGGGTAACTGTGAGATGATGGATATGTTGTTTGCTTCACTATAGTAACCTTTTTACTGCCTATATGTATCCCATTGCATCATGTTGTATACCTTAAATATACACAAAAACATTTTTTGAAAAATAAAAAACACCATAAGGAGAAAAAATGTTTGGTCTCCAGAGCAGGCTGACGTCAGTTTGAATCCCAGCCCTGCCACTGGCTCATAGTCATGGGCAAGTTACACAACTTCTCTATCCTCAGATTCTCCATCTATAAAATGGGGCAGTAATAGGACCTGCCTTATAGGACCATTGTGATAACTATGTAAAATACCACAATTAATATCCTTGGCTCAGTGTCTGGCTCACAAATAGCAGCTGCTGCTGTTACTGTTTTACATATAAATATAGATATCAAAATAGTTATAGATACACACACAAGTATATACTTTTTTGTAACTGATGAAACTCAGGTCATTATAAGCTGTGGCCTAGGCTCATCCAAAGCTGGCACTGCAGGGCTTCTCAGCCAGCCCCTGACCTGCCACCTGAGGAGACCAAGGCCCACCCTCTAGATTGCACCTTCATCACTCACAAGGGACAGATGTTAACCAAGTCATCTCTGAGGGCCTTCCATCTCTGGAGATGCTGAGATTCTGGTGCCAAGGATGCTTGGCTGAAGTCAGCAGTGGTGTGGGGGACTGGGCTGTGGGAATGCTCTGAGTCACATTCTACAACCTGTCTTCCCATGTTCTATTTTGGTGGTGACACAGTCACCCAGACCAAGAATCTTGGCGTCATCTTGGAGTCTCCCCTTTCCATCAACCCTTACAACCCACCACTTAGCAAGTACTATTGACCTTCACAATGTCTCTTGTGTCACTCCTGTATTGGTCAGCTATTGAGGCTGAACAAACAACCATAAAAATCTCAGTGGCACGCAGCAGTAAGCGTGCATGTAGATGGTGTGTGTGCAGGTTGGTTGGGGGTCACCTGACCTAGGCTAGACTTAGGTGAGGCCCTGTCGCATATGTTGCCCACCTTCTCCCTGGGACCATCAGGCTAGCCCAGAGAGAGTCTTCTTAGGATGACAGAAGAAACATGAAAGTCAACATAAATATTTAACGCCTCACATCAGAATTGGCACACCATCACTCCTGCCTCATTCTATTGGCCAAAGCAAGACATATGGCCAAAACCAAAGACAAGAGGTAGGGGAAATATCTTTCTGAATATTATTTAAGCTACCCCAGATTCTTATCTTTCAGCTCTCAGAGCGCTGAGGTTTTAATTTCATCCTGCCTGGATGCTTGCAGTGGCCTCCTGTGTGGTCTCCACACCTTAGCTATATTAACCTTTCTGTTGAGCACTGGTATGACTGTGGTATTTCATGGCCCCATCCCCAAAACCTTCCCTAGCGACCATCCCATGGAACCCAGCTCCTTGGTTTTTTATACTTTCTTCTCTTGTATCACAGTGATGAATGAATATGTCTTATCTTAGCTCCTAGTGCAGAGCCTGTCACACAATGGGGCAATAATATTTTTAAGGAGGATGAATGAATGAATGAACGAATGAATGCCTAGGCCCCTCGAGGGACGGGCTGTAGCTGTGTAGCCCAGTGCTGGGGCGCTAGCCCACATGGTCCTCTGTTGCCACTGCTGATGATGTGTGGGTGGGCAGTGTTCTGGTTACCCCCAGTCCACCACGCAGAGGGCATGACTTGGGGGTTAGCAAAGGGAGACGGTTTAGCCACAGGGAGTTAAGTGGAAAAGTGCTGAGTCTGGGGAGGGTGTCACCTCCCGTTCTACCTCATCCTCCCACATCAGCATTGCTGTCAGTGAAGGAGGATGACCAGCAGGTCTGGGCAATGCCTAGAGGCAAGGAAGCTGTGTCCCCAACCTGGGGACACCTGAAGAAGAGGTGTTATGGCCCCAGGTCAGGGTGGTCCCAGCCACAGAGAGTGCAATCACGCACCCCCATCCTCATTTAAAACATGGGGTTTGCCTGCTGCCCAGGAGCAGCCCCAAGACAACAGATGCTCTGCACAGCAGGGTGGCACCCAGGCCCCTCCCCAGCCCCGGGAGGCTGACGCGGTCTCTCATGCCTCCACAGAAGGACTTCACGGTGCGCGAGGAGCTGCAGCAGCAGGACGTGGAGCGCTGGCTGGGCTTCATCACCTTCCTGTGCGAGGTCTTCGGCACCATGCGCAGCAGCACAGGCGAGCCCTTCCGTGTGCTCGTGTGCCCCATCTACACCTGCCTCAGGGAGGTAAGAGACCTGCCGCCTGTGCCCCCTGCACAGCCAGACAGCACCAGGTCTGGAATGCGTCTCAGATAACTGGGACAAAGCTGTGAGGGTAGGCTCACTTAGAAAGGGACCCATCCGGGCCAGGCACGGTGGCTCACACCTGTAATCCCAGCACTTTGGGAGGCCAAGGCAGGTGGATCACCTGAGGTAAGGAGATCGAGACCATCCTGGCAAACACGATGAAACCCCATCTCTACTAAAAATGCAAAAATTAACCAGGCGTGGTGGTGGGTGCCTGTAATCCCAGCTACTCGGGAGGCTGAGGCAGGAGAATTGCTTGAACCTGGGAGGTGGAGACTGCAGTGAGCCGAGATCGCACACTGCACTCCAGCCTGGGCGACAGAGCGAGACTCGGTCTCCAAAAAAAAAAAAAGGGGGCCCATCCTTCAGCAAAGAGATGTGCAACAGCAGTCACTTCTGCTCCCCAAAGCCAGGTCTTTCTTCGTTGGGTTTATATAAAGGGAACCAGCACCCCCTTCCCCCGTGGGGTGTTGTGAACTGAGGCTCCAGTCATTCCCAATCGGGAGCACTGGCTGCAGAGGGGAGGCCTATGGTAAGTGTTGTCTCAATGAGCGATCTTGGAATTGGATTGGACTGGTTTGCCACTGGATTATTTATTCTATGAAAACATATTTTCTTCTAAATTTCATCTGAAAAAGAAAGAAACAAGAATGACCAAGGAACTTTTGAGAAGCAGGAATTTAGCAGGTGGTTGCACTGCCAGATATTATAACTCACTTTCTACACCCCTCTGGCTGCTGTCAGGGGAGAGAATTGAAAGGGGGCAAAGTGGAAGCTGGAAGCCGAGTGGGGCTGCTTAGGCTGCGCAGCAAGAGGTTGGTGGCTTGGAAGACAGCCTCGGAGTGAGGGCGAAGAGCACGTTTAGGCTCTAGTTGAATTTCTGAGTTAGAGCCAGCAGGACTCGGTAATGTGAGTTGGAGGGAAGGGAGGAGGGGACATGGGCTCCCCGTTTACCAGCCTGGTGGCCCCATTTTCTGAGATGGAGGATACTGGATGAGAAATAGAATGGGGATGAAAAGCAAGAGTCAGTTATGTTTGAGTCGCCTGTTAGCTGTCCCTAGGGAACTGCCCGGAGGTTGGCCGGGTGGAAGGGTCTAGAGATCCTGAAGAGGTCACGCATGGAGGTAGGGGATAGAGGGTTCTGGGAAGTATCGATATGCACCTGGTGCTCAAAGCTGGGGACCAAATGGAACCACGCAGGAAGAGAGTATAGATGGAGAGGGAGAGGAAGGGGGCGTGTAAGAACCCTCACAGCAGCCCTTCACTGGGACCTGGACGCCTCCCCCATGTTGTACCCTCCCACCACCGGCAGGCCTCTGCAGGGGCTACCAGGACACAAGGAGGAACAGCCTCCTGAGAATCAAAGGACCAGGACAGAAAAGTGTCCTGGGTTTGGCAACAAGCAGGTCACGGGCCCTGGGTGTCAGCGGAGGTGAGGACAGGAGTGTGGACACGTCTTTCGAGAAGTTTTTCTGTGAATGGCAGCAGGGAAGGAGAGCTGTGGGGTCAAGGGGCATCTTTATGGTTTTGAAAGAAAGACAATAATAGAGCAATTTAAGAGAAGGGAGGGAGTGTATTTATGAGTGTTTTTGAAGCATCCGTTTATAGAACAATAGCATGCTCATTCCAGACAAGCACAGAGCACACAGTTCTCTCTCGGGTGTTTTGTAAACCCATGAGCCTCTGCCACTCCATGTACCCAAACCACATTTCTTAACAAATGCACTTGAAATCAGATTTGTTTCGCAGATTCAGACAATGGCCTCTCCTGACTTTGTTTCACTCTCAAAGTGCCTTGAGCTCAGAATGCAGCTCCAGGAGGGCTGGCAGCTCTGCTTTTTGCACCCTTTGGAATGACATGGAGGCTAGGAGCGGGCCTGCGTGGCCTCTTGGGTCCTCCCATCCTTGCCTGCATTGCCCTGTGCCCTGGACAACCCACCTCGAGACAGGGAGCAGCACTGTTCTAGGGCAGTGACCTGAATTGCCCCAACACGTTCCCTCTGCGTGATCTGGACACCTCCTGGTGTTGTCGTCACCTGCTCCTCCGAGAGGGAGGCAAGGCTGTAGCCGAGCGCCGGCCCTGGCTGCTGGGACACTTTTAACACCGCCTGAGGTAGTGCAAATATTCCAGTGTGAGATCCGGAGGTGCCAGGAGATGTGTGCAGACAAGAACAAAGAGCCACGCCTAACGCACACTTGTTGGATGCATTCAAATTTTCGGGCCAGTTTGACAAACACAGACCCATCCAATGCTCATGGTAAACTTGAAGAATAAATAAATCACCTATGGTCTTCTCCAATTTGTAAAAGAAGAGGGCAGAGCCCCATGTACCAAGCTAACTAGGGCCGGGCTGCAGCAGGGTTCACATCCTGGCTCTGTTGTTCATCAACTGCACCACGTTGGGAAGCATTTACCTGCTTTGAGCTTTGGCTTCCTCATCTGTAAATGGTGCTCATGCTGCTTTCTCTGCAAGGTGCAGGGAGGGTGGCAAGGCATGGAGAGACAGCTAAGTGCACTAGGGACAACGAGGCCGGAGGATGGAAGGAAGTGCCCGGGGCACGGCGTCTGGCAGAGAGCTAGTTGTCATCTAGGCTGATGGGGCCTAGGGGCTGAGCACATGCCTAATCTTAAAGGGCTACTTGGGCTGAGTGTCCTGCCCAGGGACAAACAGCTGGTCCATGCCAGAGCTGGTCTGGAGCTCCTGAACTCCAGGTAGGGCTCTTTCCAGGAGAAATCTTGGCTTCCCTAAAACTGGGCCAAAAGAAAAGATGGGGACTTAAAGGGGTGCCCTACGGATCTCAACAATCCTTGTGAACAGCCTGTTGCCTTTCGCAGCTCCGTAGGGACCCCTGAATTCTTCAAGCCATTTGCTGCCTCATAACCAGGCTTGACCTACATCCCTAAAGCAGGTTGAGCCGGCTTATGGAAGTTTCCAGAGCCAAAGGCACAGCTGCAGCCCCCTCCATGCTGGAAAAGCTTAGGCTTTCCCCCTGGGGCCATGTAGATGTCTGACCCCAAATCCACAGCACCCACTTTGCCCTGAGATCCCCCCAACTCCCAGAACCACCCGCAGGCCCACATTTCCAGCTGCCCACTACACCTGTCCCAGGTCATACCTCAGGACCCTCCAAAAGGATGTGGTCAGAACTGCACCCCAAGACCCCCTGCTCAGTGCAGCTCTCATGCAGGCCCCCACCCATGCTGCCTGCCTCCCTGCAGCCAGGTAGCAGCCCCAGAACCCACGCCACGGCCTTTCCGCTGTCAAGTCACTCACTCCATCCCCTGCGTCTGTACCCCCGGGGCTCCCCTGCAGTGCTTTCCTTGCTGCTTCTGAGTAAAACCCAAACCCACAGGCCATCTCTGAGTGAAGGGTCTTGCTGAGGGTGAGGACAAACCCAAGGGATAGATGCAAAGTCCTCACCATCCAGCCCGTCTGGGGGTCCTTGTGCTCACAGAGGCCCCCTTCATTCTGAGGTCCAAGCTTACTCGGTCCCCACGCTCCTTTAGCTCAAGCATGTGCTTAGTCCCCAGGCGCCTCAGCCTGGAGGACACCCAGCTCTCTGGGAGTCCCTGGGGACATCCTTTCACACCCTGACCTCATCAAATTAACCATTCTTTAAGTTACTCAAGCTTGAAACTTTGGAGTCATCTCTGCCTCTCTGTCTTCCTGTCCCTGACACTTCTTCCTAGGCCCAGTTTGAAGTCACCTTTTCTGTGTGGCACCCCCTCAGCACACCAACAGCTTCCTCCTAAGGGACCTGGAAGTGTCCTCTGTCCTTACTGCTCCATCCTCACCCCAGCCTCTTCACGTTGCCTTGTAGTAGTGTTCAGTAACGGTAGCAGCACATCTCACTGCATGGACGCCTCCATCTCAATCGAGTGCCTCGTGTGTTCTTTTCTCTTTTAACTCAGACAGCACTTTGAAGATTATCATCCCCATTTTTCAGAGGAGAGCAGAGAGGTCAGGCAACTTGCTCAGGGCCACACAGCCACCAAGCGGTAGAATCAGTCCTGGAATCCAGATCTGACCACCCCATTTCACTGCCTTGCAGGCAGAGCAGGGGCTACTCTGTTTGTTTTCTTGGTGCATAACTCAGCACCTATATGGTAGGATCCCAGTAGATCTTGGTGGAATTGATTCCATTTTTGCCCCAACTAACATGCCAATCAGAGATCCTTCTTCCAGAGATGAAAAAGAAGAATTTTCAATGTGTGCTTTTCTTGTTTAAGAACAAATAGTTTCTGCCGAGGTGGTTTTCAAAGTGATTGAAGAAGATTATTGGTCATCTGTAGCTGCAGGAGTCTCCTTGCTCTGCTATTTACAACTCATATTTGCTTAGCAAGCTCCTTTTTATTTTTTAAATATTTTTGAATTTCTATTTTTAGTTTTACTGTGGTAAGGATACTGAATATGGATCTACCCTCTTCACAGGTTTCTAAGGATAAAGTACAGTATTGTATCCATAGCCATAATGTTGTGCAGATCTCCAGAACATATGCATCTTGCATAACTTAAACTTTCACCCATTGATTAGCGACTCCCCATCTGCACTTCCCCCTAGCCTCTGGCAACCACTATTCGTTGCTTCTTTGAATTTGACTATTTTAGATACCTCATGTAAATGGAATTATGCAGTATTCGTTCTTCTGTGACTGGCTTATTTCATTTAGTAATGTCATCAGAGTTCATCCATGTTGTTGTATATTGCAGTTTCCTTCTTTGTAAAGGCTGAATAGTATTCCATCGTATGTATATACCACTTTAAAATTTTTTTCTTGGAGGTTAATATTTGTACATATTTATGGGGTACATGTGATATTTTGTTACATGCATAGAATGTGTAATGATCAGGTCAGGGAATTTAGGATATCCATCACCTCGAGTATTTATCATTTCTATGTCTTAGGGACATTTCAAGTCCTCTCTTCTAGCTATTTTGAAATATATAATGCATTGTTGTTAACCATAGTCACCCTACTGTGCTATCAAACATTAGAGCTGATTCCATCTAACTGTATGTTTGTACCCATTACCCAACCACTCTTCATCTCCCCACCCCCACCCCCAACACACACACACACACACACACACACACACACACATTGTTTTATCCATTTATCTGCTGATGGACATTTGGGTTGTTTCCGTGTCTTGGCTTATTGTGAATAGAGCTGCAATGAACATGAGAGTGCTATATCTCTTCAAAATCCTGATTCAAGCTCTTTTGGATAAATACTCAGAAGCGGGATTGCTGGATCATATGGCAGCTCTATTTTTAAGTTTTTGAGGACCCTCCATTTTGTTTTCCACAGCAGATGCACCATTTTGCATTTCTACCAACAGTGTACAAGGGTTCTAATTTCTCTCCATCCTTACCAGTTTGTCTTTTGTTTTTTTTGCTCACAGCCATTCTAACAGGTATGAGGTGATATCTCATTGTGGCTTTAATTAATTTGCATTTCCCTGATGATTAATGACATTGAGCATCTTTTCATATACCTGCTGGCCATTTTCCATGTCTTCTTTGGAGAAAGGTCTATTCCAATTCTTAGACTAGTTTTAAATTGAGTTATTAGGTTTTTTGCCATTGAGTTTTAGGAGTTCCTTATATATTTTGGACATTAACTCTTTATCAGATGTATGGTTTGCAAATATTTTCTCCTGTTCCATACTTTGTCTTTCTCTCTGCTGATTATTTCCTTTGCTGTGCAGAAGCATTTTAGTTTGATGCAATCCTACTTGTCTATTTTTGCTTTTGTTGCCTGTGCTTTTGGAGTCATATCCAAAAAAAAAAAAGTGTCCAGACCAACGTCAAGATGCTTTTTCTTTATGTTTTCTTCTAGTAGTTTTACAGTTTCAGGTCTTATATTTAAGTCTTCAATCCATTTTGAGTTGATTTTTGTATATGGTATGAAATAAGAGTATAATTTCTTCTTCGTGTGGATATCCAGTCTTCCCAAGACCGTTTATTGAAGAGACTGTCTTTTCCCCATTGTGTGTTCTTGGCACCTTTGTTGAAGATCAGTCGACTGTAAATGTGTGGATTTATTTTTCGACTCTCTATTTTGTTTCATTGGTCTATATGCCTGTTTTCATACCAGTACCATACTGTTTTGATTGCTGTAGCTTCGGGATACATTTTGAAATTAGGAAGTGTGATTGCCTCAAGCTTTGTTCTTCTTCACTCAAGATTGCTTTGGCTATTTGGGCTCTTTTATATTTCCAAGTGAATCTTAGAATTGTTTTCTATACTTCTGTTTTTAAAATGCCCCTGGGATTTTGATAGGGATTGCATTGAATCTGCAGATTGCTTTGAATAGTGTGAACATTTTCACAATATTAAATCTTCCAATCAAAGATCAGGAATAACACAAGGATCCCCACTCTTACCACTCCTATTCAACATAGTACTGGAAATCCTAGCCAGAACAATTAGACAAGAAAAGGAAATAAAAAGCATCCAAATCTGAAAGGAAGACATAAAATTGTCTCTGTTTGTAGATGACATGATCTTATATATAGAAAATCCTAAAGACTCCACACACACACACACACACACACACACACACACACACAAACTGCTAGAACTAATAAATGAATTCAGTAAATTTGCAAAAAACATAATCAACATACAAAAATCCTTTCTATTTCTGTGCACTATCTGAAGAGGAAATTAGGAAAACAATCTTACAATTGCATCCAAAAGAAATACTTAGGAATAGAGTCAACCAAAGAAGTAAAAAACTTGTACACTGAAAACTATAACATATTATTTTAAGACATGAAAAAAGACACAAACAAATGGAAAAACATCCCATGAGCATTTTATAATAGCATTCTAAGGACCTCTTTCTCCTGCCCAGGTCCTCAGCCTAACTGTGACTATGAGGGCTGCACACACAGGAGGGGTGCAATTATTGTTTATGGCCTGAGCAAAGGGTTGTCATCTCCCCATCAGCTGGTATCTCTGAGCCAACATGCCAGGCTGTGGGTCTGGCTTGTCTAGAGCCTTCATTCCCTGACCCTACAATGCTCTCCACCTCCTCCGCCTCTCCGTGCCTCTGTGATCCCGTGGTGTTGTTGTGAGGCTCTTCTAGGTTATCATTGAATGCCTCTCTCTGAGCCCCTTACTTAAAGTCCTTTGTTGAAAATTTCTCTGGCAGGGGAATTTTCTTTTCTCTCCTTTTTTTTTTTGTTTTGTTTTTTGATTTTTTCTGAGACAGAGTTTCACTCTTGTCGCCCAGGCTGGAGTGCAGTGGTGCAACCTCTGCCCACTGCAACCTTCTTCGCCTCCCGGGTTCAAGCGATTCTTCTGCCTCAGCCTCTCAAGGAGCTGGGATTACAGACGTCCGCCACCACGCCCAGCTAATTTTTTGTATTTTTGGTAGAGACGGGGTTTCGCCATGTTGGCCAGGCTAGTCTCAAACTCCTGACCTCAGGTGATCTGGCCACCTCGGCCTCCCAAAGTGCTGAGATTACAGGCGTGAGCCACTGCACCCAGCCAAGCAGGGGAATTTTCAACAAAGTTCCATGCGCCTGTTTTCCTCCACTTCCTCTCATCCTCTCTCTCCCCTGAACATCCCACCTTTCTTCTCTCCATCCAATCCCCCCAGCTCATCCCTACCCATAATTCCAACCCTCCTGTCTCTTTGGAGTCCAGCAGCCATAGCCAGAGGTCAGGAGTGGAGTAAAGGAGGAAGGCAGGGCGCTTTCTGCCAGGAATCTCCCATCTCTCTGTACCCACCTCCTGATCCCCACCAACCTCTCCCTCTGGTTGCCCCCTGGCTCTTCTCCCCTCCAGGCCCCAGAAATCCCATCTGCCCCTCCCTGCCCTTTCCAAGGGAAGGGCAGGGAGAGGGCAGATGCCTCTGAGGGGTGTCTCTGAGGGGTGCCCCCAAGGGACACAACTGGCTGCGCTCCTAGAGGAGGTGGGCAGGCACAGGCCAGGGAGGAGAACACAGAGGCCAGCAAGTCAGGCTTCTCAGGAAATGAAATTGCTCTGTGCAACAATGAGAGAGCCACTTTTTAAACTTTTTGCGTGAGTGTGCATTCAATTGCTCACATTGTTTTGGCTCCAGGGGAAATCTGACCTCGGAAAAGGCTGAGATGAAGCGGGTGTGGGTGGAGAGCCTCTGCTATTTCACAGAGTCAAGCAACACATTCTTCAGAGGCACCTTTCCAGGCGGACCATTCCTCCTTTCCCAAGAGCAGGGCATTCAGCTACCCAGCAGAGGCCAGGGCAGGACCCACTTTGGCCAGAAGTGACCAAGATAGTCTGTTCCCCAGGGGTAACAATGAACTCTGATGGGGAGCAGAGATTTGCTGGCTGGATCCATGGGGAATTATCTTCAGCCCTGCAACTTGAGAAGCTTTTACTACATTACAAACTCTCAGACCCCTTCTTCAACCAATTAAACCAAACTTCCTGAAAATGGGGTTTGCTCGGCAGGGATATGTAAGCTTTCCAAATGATTCTAATGTCCGGCCAAGGTTAAGGAACATAGTCTCAGCATCCTAGGTGCATTCAGTGAGCATCCACTGACCAGCCAAAAACCCTTGGGTGAGGGGCATAGCCTTAGGAGCCAGAGAGACCTGAGTTTGAATCCCAGCTGTGCCACTTACTAGCCGTGGGACTTTAACCTCATTCTTCCGTCTTTTGAAACCTCGATTTTCTTATCTGTAGCATAGGAATGAGAATAATACTCATCCTGTGGCTTTGTTTTCAGGCTTAAAATAAGCGAGGTGTTTCTGTGAAGCAAGTGGCATATGACAGCCTTGCAGGGAACTGTCAGTTTGTGTGTTGCTGTTGAATACAAACCGTGTTCCAGGCATGGCTCAAGAGAAAAAAAATCGCAACACAGTCAGCCCCAGAAAGTGAGGTCCATTCTCCCAACGGGGCATCCAAGGCCTCCATAAGCAAACACAACCCCTTTCTCCAGCCAAACTGCTCCACTTGTATTTCCATAGGTGGCCTTGCATTCCTCCCACCATGAGAACAATCTTTCTCCTCTTCTTGCCTGGCTCTTGCCCACCTTCAGGGCCGGGCTCACTTCCCACCGCCTCCTCACCCTGCCTGGATTCATTCCTCTTACAACATCCTATAGAACTAATGTCCACCCGGGGCTGTCAACGTCTGTCTCCAGATATGCTCTTTGCCAGGTGGCTGTATTAATGCCTTGTGACCCTTTCTTGGTTGCTTTTAAATCATTTCAGTCTTTCGTTGCTACCTGGGGACAGGCTAGGTCTCATCTGTCATGGAACCCCGGCTGCATGTTGCTCGGAGTCTGTGCTCATTCAACAAGCAATGATTTAGTTTGAGACAATGCTTCTTATTGAACTGCGAAGTTTCCTAGTAGTACCAGAAGGAGGGATATAAGTTGTGATCCTTCAGCGAAGAGCTTGCAATCCTCCTGAAATTAAGCAGCCATGAACACTTATGATGGATTGTAAGCTGGATGAATGTGGGGAAATGGAATGGGGAAGGAGGTGGGGAGCCGCCGGGGACAAAGGGCAGGGGAGCTGGGGCTTAAGGGAAAGTGGATTGTGGACAGGCATGGGGGAAATGGGGAAAGCCTCCAGGAAGGAGCCTTTGAGCCAAGGCGTGGGGGCCAGAATAAGCATGGCCCATCTGGGTGGTAAAGAGAGGGCCCGATGAGCGAGCCGTGGCCAGCTCCGGCTCTCACCAGAGGTGTTCTAGTGAATGCAGGATGACTCCAAGAACCTTGGAAAGGTTTTAAGCCAGAAAGCAACACCATGGAAGGAACAAAGGAGCATTCCTTTATTCATTCAACAAACAATGAGAAAAATGCTACTTCCTTATTAAACTGGAAAGTCTCCTGGACACATTGCTTGCTAGAAATGTGCTGAGATAACAAAGTCAACTAAATCTGGAGCAGTCTCTAGCCAGAGGAGCCCACGGGTAACTCAGTGCCCGGAGGAGTGCAGTGCTCCAAATAAAGCGTGGGCAGGAGAGGGAAGGTGGGAGCCCAGATGGAGGAAGAGGCGAGGAGGCAGGAGAGCCACCTCAAAGGGCATCCCGGCAGAGAGCAACTCCCCAGCTCCTGATTGCCTTTAAATTTGTTCTGACTGTAACGGTCAAACAAAAAGACTTAGCAGGAAGTGAAGGGCTAGAATGCAGCTTGAAAAATCAGGAGAACCTTTCTGCATGAACAGTTTATTCCAGCCCTAATCTTAGGCACAGACCCCGCCTGGAATGTTCCTCTGAGAATGTAGCCTTCCTAGGGCCAGGTACCCAGCCCCTGGGCACTGGCTTAGCATCGGAGTCCCTGCAGGGCCAGCAGCTGCTGCTATGAATACCCCAGCTTAAGCGACCATTCCTGTAACCTCCGCCGAAATAACTTCCCACCCGCTTTGTCCCCTCCAGAGCTTTCGTTCCCCTCTTCCGCTCAGCACACACAGTGAAGTTAACTCAGCGGGGTGACGCCGACCTACCCAGACCCCCACGCCCCAAACATACACACATAAACACACGGAAGCGGCCCCATCTGAAGCTGCCTGGATCCTTGACCTCCTCAAGATAGAACTGGAGTCTCCCACCCACCCCACCTCCACTCCCGACCCTCTCCCCAGCCCCCACCCTTTGACTGTTCTGCTTCCTTAGCCAGACTCTGCAAACTGAAATGTGAAATTTGAAGCCAGTGTTCCCCTTAGCAACCATGGTAACACAGGATCTGATAGAGAGCCTAGAGTTATAAAAATACCAGCTTCCACCAGACACTGGTTTCCAAAGGGAAACCAGTCTCCAAGCCAGAACCGTTTTTAAACAGTCTTAAAACTCAAGAGATTTCTAAACCAATCTCAACATGGCTCAGGAGGACATCTCTTTAATCCTGTTTTGGAAGGTGGTGTGGGTGCAAGCTTTGGGTATTTTCTCTGAAATACAGAGATTCAGAATGCATGTGCTCACGGGGGAATTAACTAGCCTTATGAAGGGTATATAGCAGGGAGCAGTTTTTCCTAATAAACATCAACTATTTGGCATTTTTTCATAGATTGAGCTGCCCTGCTGACCCCCAGTGAAATCTTCCTTCCAGTTCCCTCCCGGGGAGTCCTCAGCTCCATCCATCCTCCTAATTAGGGAGAGAGAATGATTTCGCCTATCTCCCCTTGCTTGAAAACAATTTAAATTCACAAAACCATTTTCCAGCCGGAATTCTACTTTAAGGCTTAGGTAGGGAGGTAAGAGATGGTGATGTCAAAACTTTTCTGCTCAGGACCAACAAGAAAAGTCCTACATCCCTGTCCCCAGCCCTTTCTCTCCCCACAGACGCACCCTCGGGCATGGGCCCAGCACGAGCTATAAATCCCTGTTCTCTGCGTTCCCTGCAGAGGGCACAAGCCTGGCGAGTGGGGGCAGTGAGGGCAGTAGGGGGACTCTCCCCAGGGGAGGGGCACCTTCCCAGCCCCCAGCCCCGCCTTCGCAGCCCTGGACGGCTTGCCCTCCCATCTCCTTCCCCCGCCTGCTCCTCCTCCTCCCTCTTATCTCCTGGGGCCATGCCTTGTAATTTTGAAAAATCTTCTGACTGGGTAATTAATGTCTGAACTTCAAGAGGCCCCTGCTATCTGCAGAGCTGAGCTGAAGGTGGGAGGGGACCGGCAGCTGCTGAAGGCTTGGAGGAGGGAGGGGGTGCAGATTATTTTTTCTGAGCTGTTTAATGGACGGGACTGGGGAGGATAGAATCGTACCTTGCCAGAGTTGTGGGTACAAGATGTATATGTACACAGGCACAAGCATCCGTCTAGATTTTTAAATCCTTTGGGGTAATCCTTTGGGGTTAAAATCACACAGTAGGATGCCCTCCTGCTCACACACCCTCACCGTCCCTTAGCAGTTTCCCAGCAGGTGGATGGCAGCAAACACTAGGGGAGCCAGGCTGGGGGACTTTCTGAGTGCAGGTCTGGTTGGGAGGACTGGTTGGGAGGGAGGGACAGTGACTTACACATTTCAGAGATCATAAACCGGGCACTGGGGGTGCAAAAAATGGCCATCAGTTACTCCAGGTAACTCAGAAGTCAAAATATAAGCCTGCCTGTTTCCCACCTTAAGGGAGGATCCAGGCAACTCTGCAGACGTCTGCAGAGCCCCCCGACCTCCGTGCTTCCCAGAGTGGGCCCCCGCCTTGCCCAGCCTCCGTGCTCCAGCACAGGTGCCCTCCATCTAGCAGTTGGGGTGCCGAGTGCTGGACCCACTGCTAGGCCCTGGGCATAAGCACGCTGGGGTCCCTGTCCTCACAGAGCTGCTGTCTCCTGGGGAGAGGAGGAGCAAACGGTGCCCTGCACTAAGAGCCGAGGGTGAATAAAGCACACACAGCTCTCCAGGACCCCTGTGGATCTTTCTCCAACCGACTCCAGCTCTCAGGACCTGTAGCTCAAATTAGCATTGATGATATCCACCTGCTGCCATTCTTGCCTTCAGATGTGAATGATGTTTAGGGAACTAACTTTTCTCCTCCCTTCTGTCCACCTCAAGACCAAGCCAGGCTCCAGCTCCTTCTTGATGGCTCTGCTCTCATTGCCGCCAGCACTGAACTGTAGGTCAGAGTGTGGGCGGGGCCAGGCCTTTTGAGAAAGAACCTCCAGGATCAGCCTTCTCTTGTAGCCAGGAAGAGGAGGGGAATGCTAGGGGAAGAAGGTGGGTTTCGGAGGCAGACAGTCTTCTGCAGCTTACCCTCTCTGGCCCTTGGGTAGATGTGTTAATTATTTTTGTTTGTTTGTTTGTGTTTTGAGACAGTGTCTCGCTCTGTCACCCAGGCTGGAGTGCAGTGATGTGATCTTGGCTCACTACAACCTCCGCCTGCCAGAGTCAAGGATTCTCCTGCCTCAGCCTCCTGAGTAGCCGGGATTACAGGCGTGTGCCACCACACCCAGCTAATTTTAGTATTTTTAGTAGAGACGGGGTTTCACTATGTTGGCCAGGCTGATCTCAAACTCCTGACCTCAGGTGATCCGCCCACCTTGGCCTCCCAAGGTGCTGGGATTACAGGCTACAGGCGTGAACCACCGCGCCCGGCCAGATTTGTTGATTATAAATTGACTTCCTCCCTTCCCTGTAGCTCACTGTCTGAGAGGTACACCACCCCCAAAAAACAAAGACATGAAATAAAAGGATGGGTTCACAGCATATTTTATATTGTATAAACTGAAGTGCTGCTTACTGGGAAAAAATGTGGAAGAACACAGTAGAATAAGGCTCAGGACCTTGGTTCACTCTCTGGGAGAAGGCCCTTCTTCTAGGTGCCTGTCCAGGGCTCTGCTCAGAAGTCAGTTTCTCAGACCCCCCCCCGACCACGCCCCAGCCTGTCCCCCCACCACTGTCCCCAGCCTGACTGCCTTCTCTTCATTGCCCTACTAGTGCCTGGCTTGGAGTTTTCTTTGTTAATCGCTTATTTTCTGTCTCTCAACTAGCATGGAAACTCTCTCAAGGCAGGGAACGTGTCTATTCACAGCTGTATCCCTGTGCCTAGAATAGTGCCTGGTATATAGCAGGTCCTCAGTAGATACTTATTGACTGAATTAAGGAAGTAGAGTGCCTAGACTGAGCAAAGCCAGAGACAATAGTCAGCCCTTCTAGAATTCATCTGGAATGATTTCTCAGTGGAGATAAATCCAGAACCCTTGAAGGGGCAATGTGAGTGAGCAGAGTGGGGCTGGCTGGTAGTGGTCCCTGGAGATGAGCTCAGAACGGGAAAGGGAAAAGAAACACCCCCCATCACCCCAGCAAGCAAGCCCAAAAGGGGCATTTGTGCCCACACTGTGAGTGAACCAGTGCAAACAGTGCTCTCAGCCTGCGAAGCTGCCTCTGTTCTGTCCCTGCCTTTGGTTAAGTGGCCTTTTCTCAACAACCCTCCACCGAGCTTCATATGAGATTCAGTCTGTCCAAAGTCAGAATCCCACAAACCACAATCTTTAGGAGAAGTCAGGAGGAGCTTCTAGCAAAGCTCCCTGGACCAAGAGCCCATGGGGAAGGGATTGTTGTGGGGGCCTGGGCACCTGCTGTACACTGTGACAGCGCTCAGCAGGGCCCTCCTCACTGCCCCTCCCATGAGGAACGGAGGAAGTTAGGAGTATGTGCAGGGGGCACGAAGGGTGGGAGAATGGAGTGGGTGGGAAAGGACACCCACAGTCACAGACCTTGAAGATGACGGAAACCTTGACAATTACAGCAGAATTCACCTATGGAGCAACATGGCCAGTAACAATATAACGTGAGCCACGTGTAATTTTACATGGCCTAGTAGCCACATTTTAAAAAACTGAAAAGGGAACAGGTGAAATTAATTTTATGCTGTCTAATATATCCAAATAATCACCATTTTAACGTGTAATCAATATTAAAAAGTACCAATGAGATATTTTTTACGTTCTTCTCTTTTGGTACGAAGTCTTTGAAATCCAGTCTGTAGTTTACACTGAAAGCAGCTCTCAATTTGGACTCAGGCACATTTGAAGTGCCCAAGACCACATGTGGCCTGTGGCTATTACGCTGGACCAGGCGGTCTGGAGGCAGCTTCTGGAATCCTCAGGCTTTTGGAGCAGTTCTGGACCCCTAAAGTAACTGGATTCCCAAAGTCTCAAAAGTACTTTTCATAGCCTCTCATAGCACCAGGCAGCAAAGGGGCACCATGAATACTAAAACCTCAAGCTCACAGCCAGTGTGCGTGTGGGGGCTGCCTGGCTGGAGAGCTCCCTGCAGGGTCTGGAAAACGTGGTCCTTCTTTTTTTTTTTTTTTTAAGACAGGGTCTCCCTTTGTCACCTAGGCTGGAATGCAGTGGCACAATCAGGACTCACTGCAGCCTCAACCTCCCAGGCTCAAACAATCATCCCACCTCAGCCCCCCAAGTAGTTGGGACTCCAGGTGTGCACCACCACCCCCGGCTAATTTTTTGTATTTTTAGTAGAGACGGGGTTTGCCATGTGGCCCAGGCTGGTCTCAAACTCCTGGGCTCAAGCAATCCCGCCTCAGCCTCCCAAAGTGCTAAAGAGGGGGAAAAGGTAGGAAAGAAGAAACACATAGAAAGGGAAGAGAAGGGCTGTGGCAGGGGTGGCCAGTTGCGTGACAGGGATAAGAGAATCCACGGATAGGGACACAGTGCTGGGCAGGGCTGGGCAGCTGCCACCCTCTCCTCACAGCAGCTCGACAGAAATCGTGGCCGAGTGTGTGGAAGGCACAATTAGCTCATTCTTGCATTGCCCCTTGATTACACAGGACTACCATTTCTGTAATTAAGACCTTCTCCCTTACTCAGAAGTATTGAAACATGAAAGTATTTGCTGAATCTGGTTTCCCAGGGTTAAAAGCCAGACTTAGGAAACGCAAACACACTTGTGGAAATGCAAACACACATTCAGTAATTAATTATCCTTTAATTAAGGCCAAAACCCTGCTGAAAACAATTAGCTCTAGAAATTGAACAGTAGGTACAGCTCCACTTTTTGCTGATTGTTCTTTCCTGATAGTCAGGAAGTGCTGAGTCTGGGGGGCGGAGGTGGTAGGGAATGAATTAGTCTGCCGCTTTTGGTCTGGACTGGACCAAGCTCTACTTTTTTTGGAAATGTTAGTCAGAGGAGAGTTTGAGGTGTGGGGAAGGGCAAAGAGGATGTGGTTTGGGCAAGGGGAGGCGAGAGGCTGCCCCAGGCTTGGATGCATGCCATGGGAAGTCTCAGAAGCTCCTGCTGGCCACACAGAGGTGGCTTGCCTGGCTGGAGTGGAGGGCGTGGGCCAGGGATTAGCTGACTGGAAAGCAATTAGATGAGGTGCGGCTGGCTGGGAAAATACCTGGAATCCCAGGGCCAGAGTTGAGACTTGCTTGGCTAACGCTGCAGGCGGGAGGCCTCGTGGGGCCTGGGGAGTGGAAGTGCCCACCAGTGAGGGTGGGAGGGTAGCCGTGTGGGCTGCGAGTCTTGGATGCCTCTTGCTGATGCGGAGAAGTGGATGAGTACAGATAGTGTGGGCTCGGAGGTCCTGCAGCCCTCTGGGAAAGATGCCCTCTTTCCCATTTCCTCTCTCTAAATGCCCCCCTGCCCCCGCCGCCCTCCACCTCTCCTCAGACTCCTTGGACGTTCCTAAAGCCTGCCTAGTCCCATCAGATCACCTCACCCCTTTCCTAGGTAGGAAGATGTAGGTGCACAGTGTCCCCCTTCCGGGGACTTTCACATTTTGAAAGGAGGGGTGGGGAGAGAAAAATGTGTGCCCCAAAGGAACAAAAAGGGTGCTTGGGATTTGGGAGGGGTAGGGAAGGTCACTGGCGCCACCAAACTCTCCCCAGAAAACACCTGCATGCTTAAAAGCTTACCTAGAACCCCCGAAGCCTGGCCTCTGGATGGGGGGCTTCCCAGGTAAGAGCCCCTGCTCTAGAAGTGGAATGTTAGGTTTTCATACAGGCAAGAGGGAAGGTCTTTATTGGTCAGAGGGGCCTTCCAGATCACCCTCAAAGCAACTGTGCAAAAGATTCCAAATGTTGGCCCAGCGCAGAGCAGGACTCTCTCAGATTCCAAAAGCCCCTGACAGCTCATTTTTTCCCCAGAAGGGACCCCAGCTCTTGCACAAACCCCTTCTCTCCCCTTCCCCCTCCTTTCCCCTCCCCTCCCCTCCCGTTCTCTTCCTTTCCCTTCTCTCTGTAGATGAGGGTCGGCAAATGTCTGGTATGAAGGGCCAGATAGTAAATATTTTAGGCTCTGCAGGCCAAGAGGCAAAGCCGAGTTTAACCACATCCCTGCGAGGTGTAGGGCGTGAGCAGCAGCATGTAACCAGGAGAGCAAGCGCCTCCACTCTGTCTTCATAGCGGAAAAAGCAGCCGTAGACGATATGCAAATGACTGAGAGTGACTGTGTGCCAACGAAACCTTATTTATGGACACTGAGATTTGAATTTCATATAATTTGTATATGTCACAAAATATTCTTTGATTTTTTTCCCCAACTACTGAAAAATGGAAAAAACTATTCTTAGCTCATGGGCCATAAAAAGCAGGCCATGGCCAGATTTGGCCGGTGGACTATAGTTCGCCCCTCCCTGATCCCGCTGTGTGGTTCTCAAGTGGGAAACGCTCCTCTCCTCCAGATGGTTTCAATGCACATTAAAGTTTGAGAGCCACTGTCATAAAGGAGAATTTGCAGTTTCCCAGGTGATGCTGATGCCGTCATTAGGGGGATCCCACACTGAATATGCCCAATCTAGTCTGACCTTCACCCTATTTTACAGATGGCAAAACTGAGGCCCAGAGGCAACGTACCTCTATCATATGAGCCCAGGGAAAGGCTTCTTTGTCTCAGGATGCAGAGCTGGGTGGTTTTCTATCTCTAGCCGCCTTCAGCGATCTGCCCTGCCAGCTCACACTGCCCAAGGCTCTAGCCGAGATACAGGAAATGTGGATGTGTCCCCCGGAGCCCGAGAGCAGCAGGGCTGCAGTGAGTCATTTCCCGTGAGTGGAGCTGGCATGCGCTGAGCCTTCCTCGTGCTGTCAGTTCGCTCCCTTCTGACCACTCCAACCTGCGCTTTAGAGGAACTCCCTGCCAGCTTCCGGGAAGCGAAAAGCACCCTCTGTGAGAAGGGAAAAAGGAAAGAACCAAGGTTTGCGTGTCAGACTTGCGTGATTTCAAATCCCATGTTCGTGGTACTGCCTGGGACTTGAAACAAATTCCTTCACTTCCTTGAGCCTCAGTTTCCATCAGTAAAATGAGAAAACAGCCCCTGCCTCTGCGGGGTTCCCAGAAGACCTGGAGATTAAATCTGTCCAGTGTCAGGCACACGGCAGGGAATTTTTATGGTGTCTTTATTGGCCATCCTGGCATTATGCATTAGCCACAAGGGTACCCAGCCTCAACCTCAAAAGCCACAGAAAAAGGCCACCTGATCCTCCAGACAACATGTGTGGCCATGGCTGTGCTGATGGTCTTACAGAGGCAGTCACTGTCCTACACTCCTGAGACATTGCCATTGACGATTTAGGTTGTGCTGTGTAAGGCTCATGTACTTGGGTCCCTTGGTGGCCTTCAGGGTCTGAGAACCCTGAAATTGTATGCAGACATCTGTGAACCTGTGCAGAGGTGCATTTTTCTGGGAGAGGTGCAGATTTTTCATCGAGATCCTCAAAGGGATCCATGCTCCCAAGAAAGCTAAGGATCCCACATCTATAAGCACAGTGCAGAAGGGAGCCCCAGACTTTCAAGGCATATTCCTGGATTTGAGAATCAGCTCCCTGACCCCCATGAGTGGCCTTGGGCACACTGGAGATCATCTGATCTCCCCCCTCTGGCGTGGTCCATAAAGCAGTGATGGGACTATGTGAGGATCAAGTAGGACATGTCAGGCCAGGTGTGGAGAGGGGACTGTGTGGGAGCTGTCGGTCATGGTCCCTTCCCACCAAGCCCCCCACCTGCCCTCACCCCTGACTTGGCTGCCCCCTACTCAACCTTTGGGTTTCCTCTGCAGAGAAGCCTGCCCTGATCACCTCATCCATCCAAAGGGGGCTCCCTCCCAGCTCCCTGTTTGCATTTGTCATTCTACCCCTCTGCCCCCCACTGTAGGTGGCCTGGGGACAGGCACCGGGCTGTTTGGTCCCCATGGCCCCAGGCCCTCTAGCCCATGAACATTTGCTGCAGGAAGGCACAAATGCATACCCCCGCCCTAGGAGCCACTGCCTTGGAGCCCACCCACCTCCAGGCCCCACCTCCCTCCTCCCCCAGCAGCTGCTTCTCTAAAGAGGCAGCTCCCACTGTGCTCTGGAGCATTCAAGATCCCAGCAACAAAGTCAGAGTTAAAAAGTATATTCTGTGCTTCTCCTGGAGCTGACGTGGTCCCATCAGGTGCCCCCTCTTGAGCACAGCCAGCAGCCCCCAGAGAGGCCCTGGGCTGCCCTTCAGGGTCCCCATGCTCAGCCTGGTCTTTTTCAAGGCCTGATTCTAAGGGCTGTGTGGGCCCTGCTTGCTCTGCCTGGAGGACAGTGGGGTCACCACTGGCATCTAGGGGACCCCTCCACCACCCTGCTGCCCCCTAAGATGCGTATGGGGCAGGCCCTCCAGCTTCTCACACCTCAACTCCAAAGGCCTGGGCGATTATGAGGCACCAGTGAGTGAGATCCCCAACCAACCCCATCACTTCAGCCCTCCAGGTCCCAACATCCCACCAGGTCCCCCTGGACTGCCAGCACCTGCCATTCCCCTAGAGGGGCAAGGAAGCAGGGTGGGAAGCCCCAGGAGACTGCCGTTGGTCATGCCCAGGTAAGGATTAGCCAGGCCTTCCTCCTCCACTCCTCTCCTCTTTGCCTGGTGCAGGAACAACCAGCTAGGAGTCAGGAAATCTGAGTTCTGGTGCTGGCTCTGCTGCCACCCAAGCTGTGCCTCTGGTTTCCTCCTGGGCACCGCACATAGATGCCATCTGTGAGTGTGTCCCCTGCTTAGTCCACATCACCTGCCATCAGCCTGCTGAGAGGGCGCCGGGGCCCAGTGGGACACCCTGGGAAATTGTCAGCTACTAGTCCTGCATCCCTGCCCACATTTGGGCTGTTTGTCCCTTCCCATCGCATAAGGAGCGGGGAAGGGCAGGAAACTGAGGCAGCCAGGGTTTGACAGCAAAGCCTGCACTGCCTGGCCTGGGGGCAAAGGAGTGAGGTCCAGAGGTTACGAGCTGCCAAGGACTGGGGACCTCATCTTTCTCCTCCTGGCTCCCATCCAATGCCCAGGGGCTGGGGGGTCTCCTTTCCCGGGGCCTCCCATACACACATTGGTAAAGGGAGGAACAACAGCCTCATGGTCTCGGATCCAAATCCTCATCCCTGTGCTCACGAGAGCCCCTCCCTAGAGCAAGGGAGCACTGGTGCCTGCCTCACAGGGTGGGGGCGAGAAGGGGGCTGTCTAAGGCCCATCAAGCATTTAGCAGGGGCCTGGCACACATCCCCACTCAGAGGACACCGAGACCACTGTTCATGTCACATCCGGGGTTCAAATTCTCAGTGCTGCAGGAACTCAGAGGAGGAGGAGTGGCCTGGGAGCTGGGGAGGGCTGAGGTCTGGGCTGGGGGAAGCACCTGAAGGCAGGGGTGGAAGCTATGGGCCTAGGGGCACCTGAGCCTGGGTGAGCCCAGCCCAAACTGAACAAAGGCGATTAGAGCTAAGAAGAGGGTCTCAGTCATTTATGGAGCCTCTGCCACTCCCATCCACCTGAAGAGACATTTTTCTCAGTGGTGCCCACTCTGACTGCACCAGAAACACCCAGAGATCTTACTATACAGATTCCTAGGCCCCCACAGCCCTACATAGCCCTAAAATCAAAGAGTGAGGGCTGGATCTGTTTCTCTCCTAGGTGGATCCAGTACAAACACAGGGCTGGGAACTACCCACTGGATGCATCCCTCTCCCTGCTCCCAGATGCCCTGAGCCCCTGCCCCCCACCAACCTGTCCCAGCAGCCCTGGGCAACTGGGTGACTGCGAGGCTAAGAATCCCCCACACCCACACCCTCCCTGGTGGGAAGGGAGTGGGGCTGTCTCTGGAACTCTGATTTGGTTTTGCTGTCCAATGCCAGAACGGGGGCACACTGAGGAAGAGAGACTTTTAAAAACAAAGTCCGTCTTCCCTGGGGTTTTATTTTACCTTGGAAAATAGAAGAACTGATTTTTTTTTTTCTACTTTCCCCCAAACTTGCTCCCTATCAGTGTCCCTAAAGTAGGAAGAGTTCTCACTTCTCCAAGTGTGTAGTCTTGGCATTAATTAAAATCCAGAAATGACAGCAACAAAGCACCTGCTTTTTCTTCCTGCTTTTCTCCCAACACCCCGGCACATCAACAGCCCGTCAGCTTGTGGGTAGACTCACATAGGAGCTGGAGCCTACACTGAACTTTCATCCCAGGCGAAATGCCTATCAGAAGGCAGGTGCGCTGCCTTCCCAAGCCAGTGCCCTCCTAGAGTTGAGCGTGCTGGGCTGCCCACGCCTCACGTGAGCCTCTCGGTGCAGTGGCCGCCTGGAAGATGTCTCACCTGGGTCCTTGCACAGGCAGATACTGGAGAAAATCTGAGGAAATATATAGATTGATTTTTGTCCGCCCCCCTGAAACGAGTCCCCTTTATAGTCACACTTCATAGAAAGCACAACACAGACAGCATGTCTGTGCTTGAGGCTGTGGCTGTGCACACTTGGGTGGGCTCAAAGTATATGCATTACTGCACAACCTTTGTCTCCCTCGGGGCCAACACAGAGTTTAGTGTAGGAGCCTTCACTTAGGCACTGTGTTCACCTTTACAGCCTTCTCCAACACTTCATTTATTTGGTGGCCCCTTAACCAGAAGCATATGGAGAAGTTGAGGGATTTGCCAAGGGACAGGCAGCAATAGTGATTTGCCAGGGCAGGCCCTGAAGCCTGTGTTGGTCACAGGCAGATTCAAGGGCAGCAGCAGCCCCCAAACTCTAGATCTGCATCTCAGGCCCAGGCACATCTCCCTGACACCTCCCCGGGCCTGCCCACCAGCCCCTCAATCTCTAAGTGTCCTAGTGGAACCTGTCTTCTGCTCCCCAAGCCTGCACCTCCTCCCGGAGAAGGACCTCCAGGCTGTGCCGGCTACAGCCCCGAGGCCATCCCTGACTCACCACCAACCGCCACCCTGCTGCCAGTTCCCAGGGTCTGTGAGCAGCAGCTCTTGCAGATTTTCTTGAATCTGGCCACCACTTTTCTGCCTCTCCACGGCTCGGCTAGGCCACTGTTTCCTTTCCCCTGAATTACCCCACCAGCCCTCTCACTGGCTCACCCCTCCTGTTCTCAGTCTCACCCTGCCACCCTCTCTCTGAGCACTCCTGACTCACTTTTCTCCCTGCCTGTGGTGTCCTTCCCTCTCTTCCTCTCCTCACCCCACTCTCCTGGCTGTAGCTTCAAAGGTTTCTTCCCAGGAAGCTGTCCCTGAGCCTCCTCTCCTGACCCAGGTGAGAACAGTTCTTCCCGTCACTGACCCCACAGCACACTCTACACTGTGCCACTTGCAGCCCACTCAGTTCTAAGAGCCACCACTGACCGAGCTCACTGTGTGCCAGATACTATCCTAAACACCCCACATCCTCTTCTTTAATCCTTGCAACTACCCTTGGCGGGAGGTAATATTAGTATCACCACTTTACAGGTAAGGAAACTGAGACACAGAGGGGTTGCCTGTATTGCACAACATGACTGGTGGGGCGGCTGAATCAGGATTAGAATCCAGGCAGTCTCACTTTACAGCCTTAGTTCCAAATGCTGATCTGCTTATGCAACATCTGTCTTCCCTCCTAGACTCATAAATCTATAAGGCCAGGATCTGTGCCTCCTTGTTGAATGAGTGAATGAATGAAAAGTTGTTACTACCCCCTTCAGACACCCTGGAGAAGTTGGACTTGTTGTGCTCCAAGGCTTTATGTCACTGGGGGGCTGCATCCCAGGGAACAGAGGCCCTTCCGAATGGCCTCACCCCAGCCAGCAGAAAGCCATGCTTTCTTTCAAATCCAATCTTCAGGTCTTCCGAGAGGCCCAGGTGGACTCAAGTGCCTGTGTGAGCAGTGTGAAGAAAAGCTAGTCTAGGTAGATGCTAGACTAGACCTAGAACTAGGTAGAAGCAACAGTTGCTCCCAGGCTGGGAGTGGTGAGTCTTCTGGCTACGGAGGTCAGAGAAGATCAGGGAAGGCTTCCTGGATGAGGCTCTTACCATTGTTCTTAAGGGATCTGGTCAATGGAGCCAAGATCAGAAAAGGCATGCTCAGCCAAGAGAATTGTCAGCAAAACCCAGAGGCAGATAAGGGCAGGATGCATCCTTAGACCTGTGAACAGACGAGTTTGGGTGGATTGGAGGTCTGTGAAGGGGGCAAGGTGGGAAGACTGTAGGGCCCAGAGCAGAAGTGGCCCAGCGAGCCGCCTGAATGCCAGGCTAAGCCCTCATCCCCATGCAGCCTGGTCAGTTGAACACAGTGAGAATGCACAGGTGATAACAGAATATTGACTCACATGCTCATTCATCCAAAAAGATCATCTCGACTTAGAAAAAGAGTTGCCCCATTATTAAAATTTATATTCTGCTAAGGGTAAGGCTCTAAAGCCAAACAAACTTCCAGGTGCCAATTAACTTCTCTTATCTCCGAGTCTCTTAGACTTGGCAAAGAGTACTTACCAAATCCCTACTGACACCCTGGGCAGCCCCAGGCCCTTTTCTCAGCCCAGGCCTGTCTGCTCCTCCAATGGGTGGCTGCTCCTCTGAGCACAATGCTAATTATGCCCTTAGCACAGCCCGATTCTTCTCTGAACAGTAACAGAGCTTAATTGTCTCCGGCCCAGCTGTCCCTACCCAGTTGGTCCTTGGTTACTGCATTCTGCCCAAACCCACTGCAGAACCAGCTGCACTCCCTCACCCAAAGGATAGCCCTCCAACCCAGCTCCTGCCACAAGGCTTCACTCCACCCCCACCCCCACCCCCACCCCAGAAGATGGGCACCTCTGTCTGGAAACCAGGCTACTACAAGTGTTGATCCTTCTTCAATACAGCATGCCAAGATTATCATGCAAAAAAGAACATGGTTTAAGCAAAGGTTTCTTCAAAATTCCGTGCTTGGTGGCAGAGGAGTGGGCCAGTGTGTCCCTTTTCTAAGTCCTCCAATGACCCTTGCTCGTTATTTATGCCCTCCCTGACTCATGCTCTGTAAAGTCTGAGGTTGGTAAAAGCCCCCTACATTTAAGAGGGCACCTGGTTAATGTAGGCATCCCATAAACAATCTTCTAAGAAGCTTCTTCCCAGTCTCAGGGAACTGTAGGTTGGCATAGCCTTGCAGATAATCTTGTGCCCAGTTGGTGAGCAAGCAGGGGCCAGTGGCTGGAGCGGCCCCTGGGCTCTGGGCATGGGGAGGCCCTCCTTCTGAGCTGATGGGTGGCCTCTGCAGCCGGGCCCTCCCTGAGCTTCCCTCTGGGACAGCAGAGAACTCAACCTCTCTGCCTAGGGCAGCGCCCTCGTGGCCCCGGCTCAGCCCAGCTCCTCTAGGGAATTGAGTGGCTGGACTGTGGTTTAGTCGCCCCCAGGGAAGCTTACCCAGAGGAGGAAAGGACTGTTTCGCAAGCCAGGCCCGGCGTTCTGAGCTGGCCTGTCCGCCCCTGGCATATGGCTGGGCCTGTTAGGAAATCAAGGAGACGCTCTGTCTCTTTCCAGCAGGCGCCACTTCTGTCTTGCCACTGCTTTGCTCGATTCAAGACGCTGGCTCGGGGGCCAGGCTGGTGGGCAGGCAGGCGGGCAGGCGGGCAGGCCCCTCTCCCACCAGCCCGGTGCCTGGGAAGCGCTCACTGTCTCCTCAGCCGGTGTTATCCCAGGGGTCCCGCACCTGGCTGATAAGGCCAGGCGGCTATCAGTGGCCATCTCGGGTGGGAGGGCAGGGTGGCTCTCAGGGAAGGATTCCAGACTGTTTCCTTCTGGGGCTGAGCTCCAACGCCCTTATCTCCTTTCCTGCCAGGCAGGGACTCCTCAGCGCTCACACACAAAAGAGAACTCCACCCAAGACGCACAGCCCCTACCTACTGGAAGGTGGAGGAGGCTTTGCCTCCGGTTTCATTAAATCTACCTGGTTCTCAATCGGGGGCAGTTAAGTGTGCACTCAGCTAATATCAATGTATTTGGTCCTGCCAGGGGGTGGGAGGGTTGGAGAGACGGGGACGTTCAAGTAATGGAGCTGCCTTGGTGGCTGTTTTCGAAGCTCCTGGACTTGTCAGTCAACTGAAACGTCTCTTGGAAGAGAAACAACCAGGGGATGGGCCAATGCCAATTACAAGATTCAGGGGCTGCGGGGATGGGGAGGTCAGGCCTCATGGGACTGAGTAGAACGAGGGTGGTGGGGCCTGAGTGTGAAAAACCAGGCCTCGCTCAGCCCCGCTCTTGGCTGCCTTGAAGCCTGTGAGGCAGGAGGCCTGGTGAGTATTATTCCCGTTTCATAGAACGCAGGCCTGTGGGTGGGAGTGCTAGAGGGAATACGGGAATATATTATAGAAGATGGGTCAACGGAATCCTTGAGAGGTCAGCCGAGCGCCCATTCCTGTTAGCGCGGAAGGGAGAGCCCTGGCCTCACAGTGTTCCCAGGATTAATGTTCCGCCTCAGAAGAGCAGCCTACCCCCAAGACTCTCAGACTTACTGCTGGGCAATGCTTTCCAGAGGCCAGGGCTGGCCTAGGTGACCCCACAGGGCCTTGTTCCAGCCCAGCAGTCGCTGATTCTACAGGCAAGTTACTATGGGAACTATAACTTTGAATTTCCTGGCTCTGGGGCTGTGAAAATCACAACCTGAACCTTCCGTTGATGTGGGTTTCTCGATTAATTTCCTGTTTGATTGTTTACTTTAGAGAGCGGAAAATGCCTTTGCAGGCAGCTAGCTCCCTCCACGGAGACACTTATCACACCCTGCCCCCACAGCCAGCAAGGTCAAGTCCAGGCCTCAGGTGGGTGGAGGTAGGGGCCAGAAGCAGGGGCAGGGACTGGGGGAAGGGGCTGGAGCTGGGGGCAGGGAGGAGGCTCAGCCAGAAGCAGATGGCAGCCTGAGCCCCCTGCCCTACCCTTCTGCTTGCCCGGGGTCCCAGCCTGGTGGATGTCGGGGCTGTGGAGGGACCTGTGATTTCAGAGACCTGTGAGCCTTTGAGGGGAGCCTCCCACCCACCCCAAGCCCCAGGACTGGCCCCTGGCTGCCCAAACTATCCCCTGTCTCAAGGAGCTCTGTTGTGCAGAGTCAGACATACAGTGCAGTCCTTCCTGGAGAGGGTGGCCTCAGTGGGGAGGGTCAGAGATTTCCCCCTAGGCCAGGCACTGCTGACTGGGCTGCCCAGTGCGGGGCTGGGCGTAACTGCTCTTCTACCCTTCTCTCCTCCATCTGCCCTCCCCAGGGCCCTGCGCTCCAGCAGGGAGCTGTGCCCAGTGTTCCCAGTGACCATAACTCCATCCTGTTCCCTGCGGAGTGGGGAGGGCTTGCAGGCTCAGGTGCCGCCTGCGAGCCAGGAGTTCTGATCTCCTGTGATGATAACCACCCATCTCTAGGCCATGGGACACTCGGTAGCCTCTCGAGCCCTCCTCCCCACCCCAGCTACCCAGCCCCTAGATGGCCCTGAGGCCCCATTTATAATGGGGGCCCTGAGGCACGGGGAAGGGAAATGGAATAGGCCAGAGGGCTGTGGACTACCCAGGGGATCTGGGAGGCCTGGGAAAAACTCCCAACCTCCCAGCACCCCTCCCTTATCTAGGTGACCGTATATGATCCACATCAGGGCAGTTTGGAGAGTGGAAAGGATGCTTTTACTAATGACTTTGAGATGACAGGTGAAAACTGGAACTATTCCAGGCAAACGAGATGTGCCATCACCCCACCTTTGGCCGGCCTCTCCCCATCAGCCTATTTATGTGGGCACTCACTGGGGAGCAGGAGTGAAGCTATTTTTCTACCTACTTGTGTGCTCTTGGAGAAATCATTTCCTTCCCTGTGCCTCAGTTTCTGTAGCTGTGACATGAAGAGCGTTGCAGTGGTGCCTAACTCAGATCATCTGGTAGAAAGATCAAATGGATCTTTAAAAACACACAGAGCACATAGAACAACCACTCAAAATATGTAAGCCAGGTGAGCATGAGGATTCCGAAGGTGCTGTTCACCCTCAGAGGCCCCCTCTCAAAAGGGGAACCTCAGAGCTGCCTTAGGCATTTCCTGTTCACTCCTCAGGAGGGATCTTGGACTGGGGGCAGTGAGCACAGAAGAAGCTTCCAGAAGGGATGGGGAGGGCCTAAAGGGGAAGCTGGGAGGCACTGGCTGCAGGCACAGCTGCTTCCCTGGAGTCTCAAACCCACCCCAGGGTCCTGGGGATTCCTGGCTGCAGGCACTGTGAACAGAACTAGCCCCTGTCTAGGCCACTAGCTGGAGCTTGGTCCACAGGAGAAGCCGCTGGAGTTGTAGCCCTGCCTTCTGGATCCAATGTCTCCAGAAGAATTTGGTGTCTACCCTGAGCCCCAAATTATATTTCCAGCCCCCGGGCCAGCTGTGGGATGAAGCATCCCCCATGTGACATCCACTGTCGCTACTTTGTACGGGGTGGTTTGCAAGCCCGGCAGGAAGGAGGCTAATTATTCCCTCTGGGGCGCCTGGTCCGCAGCTAGGGTGCCCGCCCGCCTTAGTTAGGAGGGCTGGCAGCCAGACCACAGGGCACAAGCTTGGACTGAAGGCCAGGTCAGAACCACAAATTTCCTGACATCTGACCATAACCACCATACCAAGGCTCCATGTTAGACTGGTGGAAAAGTGGCATGGGGGCCCATTCCCCTCTGCTGAAGGTGTCTGCACTGTGGGCAGGCAAGAGCGATTAACATAAAACAGCACTAATTTTGTAGCTTTGGTGCCAGGCTAGGCAACATTAGCATCTACACAAGCACCTATATCCATGGCCACACCAGCCCTTCCTCCCACTTCAGAGGGCGACACTACTCTTCTTTAAGGCAGATCTATGTACTTGATCCTTTCCTCCTTTCTGATTATCCTCTTCTCCTGCACTCTGGCACCTCACCTCTACCTTTAAACTGGCTCAAGACTCTCCTACTTTAACCACACCAGATTCCCAGACCATTCTAGGTGACCCTGTGCCAGTGTCTTTCCCCTAGCATCCTCCCCTTTTCTTCTTCCATAGGCAAGTTCCAAAAACAAAGAAAAGAGGGAAAGGAAGGAAGAGAAGAAGGGGGTTGGGGTTGGGGGTGGGGGAGAGAGAGAGAGAAGAAAGTACAGAAATTCATTCCAAAGAAAAAGAAAGAAATGGTGTGCTCTTTCTGTCTGCACTTCTGGACCTCCTTCACACTCTCCAACCCTGCGGGGCCCAGCCCAGGCTTCCACTGCCCCAGTAGCAGCACTGAAGTCATCATGGCAAAGGTCACCCATGCTCTTCTAATCACCAAATCCAGGGGACCTTGGTCATTGTTCGTTTTACTTGACCTCTCTGAGCTTTGACACTGGTGACCTTGTACTTCTTGGAACTCTTGGCCCTCATGACGCCATTTCCTCCTGTTCTGCTTAACTCTCTGACCACCCTTTTCTTCCTTCTTTGGGGATTCCTCTTCCTCCTCTCTCACCCTTTAGGCATTGCTGTGTTCAGGTTGGGAGCCCCTGCCGTCTTCTCTTCTCATTCCATGTGTTCTCCAGGTCACCTCACTCACACCAACGGCTTGACTAATCCCTGGGTGCTGATGATCCCAGATTACCATTCTCCCATTAGTCATCTTCCCTGGTCATCCCCAAGGACCCTGGACTCAGTATTTCTAACACTGAACTCATTCACTTTCCCTAAAACCACCTCCACCTGCCTTCCCAATATTGTTGATGGCATCATCACTTACGCAGTTGACCAAACCCCAAACCTGGGGGCTGGCCATCTTCTACCTCATCCTTTTCCTCACTCTCACTTCTGCCTCTTAACATATTCTGCCTCTTAAATATCCTCCTCCCTTCCTGCCAGCCTTAATTCAAGCCACCCCAATTTTGCACAGCAACCTTCTAACGGTCCCCCTGCCTCCAGTCCAAACACCACCCTACCTACATCTCCATGCTATGCAAGATAGGATCTTTCTAAACTACAGGTATTACTATGCTACTCTCCAGTTTAAAATCTTTCAGTGGCTCTCCAGTCCCTTGGGATAAAATCCAAACTCAGTACCATGGCATCTAGAGCCCTTAAATATGTGGCCTTTGCCTTCTTTATAAGCACATTCCACCCCCAGCACCATATATTTTAGGCATCTTGAAATACTTATTCATCATTGTACTCTGCTAGTGCACATTTTTTGCTTTTTTACATCTTTCTCATGCCATATGCCTGGAGTTCTCCACCACCGCTATTCCTTCTTATGCTGCAATGCCATATACCTAGCAAGTCTCTTGCTTTCCCCCTACTAGACTATAAATTATAAGTCTTATTGTTCCTCTTGTTATCCCTGTACTTACGTAGCATTTAACACACCATAGATATTTCATAAATGTTGCCGAGTGGATGGATGGATGGATAGATGAGTAGATGGGTAGATAGATGGATGAAAGGATAGATGGATGGATGGATGGATGGATGGATGGATGGATGGATGGATAGGTGAATAGACAGATGAATGAAAGGATGGATGGGTAGGTGGGTGGGTGGGTGGATGAATGGATGGATGGATGGATGAGTAGGTGAGTAGATAGATGGATGAAAGAATGGATGGGTGGGTGGATGGATGGATGGATGAATAGGTGAGTAGATAGATGGATGAAAGGATGGATAGATGGGCGGATGGATGGATGGATGGATGGATGAGTAGGTGAGTAGATGGATGAAAGGATGAATGGATGGATGGATGGATAGATACATGGATGAAAGGATGGATGGATGGATAGATAGATGAATGAAAGAATGGATGGGTGGATGGATGGATGGATGGATGAGTAGGCAAGTAGACAGATGGATAAAAGGGTGGATGAGTGGATGGAGGGATAGGTAGTGGCCAATACAGACAAAGAATAGGTAAAATCAGTTCAATTTTGTGAAGGCTCAGGTTGACCTGTCACCAGTCAACACAATTAAAAATTATGAGCTCCAGCCGGACATGGTGGCTCACACCTGTAATACCAGCACTTTGGGAGGCTGAGGCAGGCAAATCACGAGGTCAAGAGATGGAGACCATCCCGGCCAACATGGTGAAACCCCATCTCTACTAAAAATACAAAAATTAGCTGGTCGTGGTGGTGCGTGCCTGTAGTCCCAGCTCCTCAGGAGGCTGAGGCAGGAGAATCGCTTGAACCCGGGAAGCAGAGGTTGCAGTGAGCCGAGATCACGCTACTGCATTCCAGCCTGGTGACAGAGCAAGACTCCGTCTCAAAAAAAAAAAAAAAAAAAAATTATGAGCTCCAACCAGCAAAATAAGAATTAGCTAATGTGGGAAATTAATATCATTCCGTAAAGGAGAGAGCACAGATCCAGGACTCTCCAGCACCTTCCATTTCCACTTAGACCTGCTGTCTGTCTGGGTTGTGCAAGCCACTTAACTACTGAGCCTCAGTTTCTCTACCAATTAAGCAGATATGATAATACCTGTGGCCTTTCCCTGTCTCCACAGGAGTGTCATGAGGGTAAAAGGAATGGTGCATACAAAGCATGTTGAGATCTTCAGGGAAGATACATGTTTATAAAGATAGAAACATCATAACAATAATAACACCTTACGTTTGAATCAAGCTTTGCACTTATCAAAGCTCTTTCACATACGTTATTTCAATTGACTCTCCAAACAATCCTAGGCAGATACTATCCCTGTTCTCAGGTGAGGAAGCTGAGATGCAGAGTGATTAAGTGGCATGCCAGGGGCTGGTCTTAGTGTGTAGCAGGTCTTCTGACTCCAAGCCTGATGCCCATTTTTGATGATAGCCTTTCTTGGATAGATTATCTACTTCCCTGCCTCCCTGAACGGAGACCTAGACATAATTGGCCCTTTTCTTGATGACTCGTCATTACCATAGGCACAGTCCCTGGGCTGTCCTCCAGGTTTGGCTGTAGGTACAGGTCCAGGTCCCGCAGAGGCACAGGGTGGATGGGCCAGCTGTCCCGGAGGGTACTCCTGACGTGTAGGTGGCAACCATCCTAGAGCCCTGCAGGTGTGGTTCTTCTGACTCTGCCTCATTCTTCCCCCTGTCCCCTTTGTCTCCACTGTCAGCATGTGTGCCCATTTCTGTGGCTTCCTCCGCCACCACGGCCTTTACCCGTCACTATCTTTTCTTCTTTGTTTCCCTCTCTCCTGCCCTACAATTCTTTCCACACCTTCAGCTTGTCCCCCCACAGCCCTGGCTCATCCACCGGCCCAGCCAGCCAACCTCAGCTCCCAGGCTGGCTTTGTTCTCCCGCCAATCACAGCCCTCTGCAAACCTCCCACTTTGGCTCCCTCATGGCTGCCCCTGTGGCCACCTCCAGTCGCTACCAAAGGAAGGAGGCTCCTCCAGGCAGGGGCTGGGCTGAGCTTTTTCTGCAGCTGCATTAGGTGGCTTGGGTTTGCTCTCCCACAGTAGAAGGCTGTGCTGTGGGTGAGCTGAGGTGGTCAAGGTGGGCTGGCCAGCCCGGCTTGGATGGACACTGCACCCCTCACTAGCAAGGCAAGATGTTGGGATTGCCAGTGCTCATCCCTCCCTGCACAGCGAGGCTGCCCCATGAGTTCTCAGCACCCCCTTTCCCTCCCTGCAGGGTGGCATCCCAAGCTACCAGCCTGGTTACATCCTGGGCATGCCTTGGGCAGCCTGCCTGTGCCCGTGGCCCTTCCCCCAGGGACTCCAGGAGACTCCCACCAGGCTGCCTTTCTCCCTGGCTGCTGTGGGGCCTCCCACAGCCACAGCCTGACTGGAGCACCTTGGTTTCTCCCTGAGGGAGGATATGATGGGCGTGCCCACAACAAGTCTCCGCCAGAGACAATAGGACAGGAATGCATTCGCTTCCGAACAAACACTGTGTGGGCTCGCACAATTGCCTTGGATTCTTGTCCAAGAAACACATTTTGCCGTTCGAGGGCACGGGAGGCTTGCCTGCCCCAGCCCGCCCACATCCCCGTCAGTGCCAGAGACTCTGATGAGTGGGCTGCTCCTCCCCCGACCCCAGGGCCTCTGACCCCCAGGTAGAGCAGGCTGGTCTCCTTCATGGATGCAGCTCGTCTTCCAGAGGTGACAGCAGAGGAGAGGGACAGTCCTGCCCACACAGAGGGTGCCTGCTCCTACCAATGCCTTTTTTTTTTTTTTTTTTTTTTTTGAGACAGAGTCTTACTCTGTCGGTCAGGCAGGAGTGCAGTCGTGAGATCTCGGCTCACTGCAACCTCTGCGACCTGGGTTCAAGCGATTCTCCTGCCTCAGCATCCCAAGTAGCTAGAATTACAGGCGTCTGCCACCATGCCTGGCAAATTTTTGTATTTTTAGTAGAGATGGGGTTTTGCCATGTTGTCCAGGCTGGTCTTAAACTCCTGGACTCAAGTGATCCACCCACCTTGGCCTCCCAAAGTGCTAGGATTACAGGCATGAGCCACCCCGCTCAGCCTGCCATTTTTTTAAAAACCATTTTTTATTGGTTAATAAATACATACATATACATATAACATTATGTAAAGCTTACCATTTTAAACTTTTTTTTTTTTTTTTTTTTTTGAGACAGAGTTTCACTCTATCGCCAGGCTGGAATGCAGTGGCACGATCTCAGCTCACTGCAACCTCTGCCTCCTGGGTTCAAGCAATTCTCCTGCCTCAGCCTCCCGAGTAGCTGGGACTACAGGCCCGCACCACCACACCCAGCTAATTTTTGTATTTTTAATAGAGACGGGGTTTCACCATGTTGGCCAGGTTGATCTTGATCTCTTGACATCGTGATCCACCCGTCTCGACCTCCCAAAGTGCTGGGATTACAGGCGTGAGCCACCGTGCCCGGCCCATTTTAACCATTTTTAAGGGTGCACTTCTTTGGCATTAAGCGTATTCACACTGTTGGGCAACCATCCCCACCGTCCATCTCCAGAACTGTTTCACCTTCCCCAGCTGAAACTCTGTCCCCATGAAACACTCCCCATCCTCCCTCTTCCCAGTTCCTGGCACCCACCATTCTGCTCCCTGTCTGTATGAATTTGACTACTCTAGGGACCTCATAGAAGTGGAATCATACAGTGTTTGTTCTTCTGTGCCTGACTTATTTCACTTAGCATAATGTCTTCGGGGCTCGTCCGTGTTGTGGCATGTGTCTCAATGGCCTTCCTTTTTAAGACTGGGTGATATTCCCCTTGTATGGATTTACCACTTGTTTATTTATTCATCTTTCAGTGAACACTTGGGTTGTTCCGCCTCTTGCTATTGTCAGTAATGCTGCTGGGAACATGAGTGTCCAAGTCACTGTTCAAGATGCCGCTAATTTTTGAGATCTGTGTTTGAGCTAAGTGAAGCTGTTGTCTCCTGGCGATCCCAAATAGAACATACATAAATGAGAGAGCTAGTCGGCCCTCTCCGTACTGGCAGGGATTCGTTTATCCCCAAAATGAGCTGTCTCTTAGGAAATCAGAGCCCTGAAGAAATGGGACATAGGACAGGTCATTTAGGCCAAGATAGACAAGACTGGAAAGGTTCTTCCCTTGGGATGATACCCACTAAAGGCAAGTTCAGTAGGGATTTCTGGGCAGCCATTGGTCACCCTGAAGCATGGAGAGCCCGGGAGGGCAATGGCACTGACGGGGCCCCAGGGAGGAAGCCTGTGGAGTTGTGCCAAGGGCCCCCTGGAAGAGGCAGGCCAGACCCTTGTTCTGACACAGAGCAGCAGGTGGGGCCTTCAGCTGTGTGCCCCATCCAAGGGAGGCTGAGGGAGCATCCTCCACCATCCCTTCACCCCGAAGGGTCTGAGAATCCACTCTCAAAAGCCAGCAACCAAGCAGGTGTGTGTGGGGAGGACAGGACATGGTCTGCAGCCACCAAGGCCCTTCCTGTGCTCTCTGCGTTCCAGCAACTGGGAGGGACAAGTAAGATGAGAAACTCCTTCCCTGACTTCCTTGAGAAAACCCAGCAGGCCGTTTGCAAGAGGGCCTCTCGCACAATGTGGTTTTTGGCTTCATGCAGACTTTCCCAAACAACCCAGAGAAAGATAAGGTTGGAAGGGGGGGCTCTAGGGTTGAGAACCCGCCCCCAGCTCTGCCTTAGGGCCCTGGGCAGTCTGTCCTCTGCCCTGACAGGAGTTGGGGGAGTAGGGGGAGCAGGGGCAGTGGCCCCAGGAGCCTGCCTGCGGGGAGTTTGGGCGTGCCCAGGGAAGAAGGCATGGGAAGGGGAAGTCACAAAGATACGAGAAGGGAAGAAAAAGAGCAGGGAGACTGTGGAACCGCTCTGCAGGCCCAAGCAGCCCCATCACAGAAAGTGGAAGGCACGCAGGCTGTGGGCTGCAGAAGAGACGAGGAGGAGACCCTTGATTGTCAGGGCAAAGCGCTCACTGTCAACACCCCTGGGACTCCGGGAGGCTTCCACGCAGCCCTGTCAGCGTCTCCCTCTCTCCTCGGAGGGAGATGCAGCCACATTGAGAGCCTCTAGTGCCTGGCAGGCCCTGGCTCTTCTCGAAATTTCTCATATTATTACTTCACTTGTCCCTAAACCTCAGAACCTGGCAGGCACAGGCAAGGGACCAGAGCCCCCTGAGAAGCTAGTCTCAGGACACACCAGGGCCCCAGGCGCACTTCCCTCCCCGGGAGAAGCATTGACTGAGCAGCCCCACTGTGTCAGCCAGCGACATCCGCCTGCGGCTGCTTCCCCAGCTGCCCTCCCTTCCTTCGCATCAGCTCCCGGGTTCTGCCTCTTCCCCACCCAGGGCCACCACCCACTCTGTCTGGAGTTTCATTCCCACCAGATACTTACCTTCCCCCTTTCCTGTGATTTCTACCAGCAATTTTTATTTTAAGGATTTTTTTTTCCTGCTAAGCACCCTAGGGAAGCATATGAGGGAAATTTACTATAAGAAAGAAGTTCCAGCCTAGGTGGGGTGGTTCATGCCTATAATTTACCTAGCACTTTGGAAGGCCAAGGTGGGAGGATCACTTGAGCTCAGGAGTTCAAAACCAGCCTGGGCAACATAGTGAGATCTCGTCTCTAGTAAAAAATTTTTTAAAAATTAGCCAGACATGGTGGTGCACCCCTGCTCCCAGTTACTTGGGAGGCTGAGGCTGGAAGATTGCTTAAGCCCAGCAGGTTGAGGCTATAGTGAGCTATGATTGTATCACTGCACTCTGCCCTGGGGGACAGAGTGAGACCCTGTCTTAAAAAAAAAAAAAAAAAAAAAAAAAAAAAGTTCCAGCAAGACCACACAGAATTCTCCTGATGTTAATCCCCATTTTCCCTGCTGAGTAAGTGTGGCTAGGCCCACCTTTCCCTCCGATCCCAGTCCCAGACAGTCACAGGACCCTCCCAGGCCCTGAACCAGCCCCTCGCAGTTGGATGTTGGACCCCATGACTCAGGTAGGCTTGCTGCAGGATGAGTCACACCCCCCACCTCCAACTTTTTCTAGAACCTGCTTACTAATCTTTATCCCGGCCTCTTGGGTCCTCTAGATGAGGGAGACCGTTGCCTGTGGCCCAAGAAAGTCCCCCAGGCACTGACTGGTGGAAGCCTCCCTTGGCTCTCCTTGGGGATCCGCAGACCCCAGTGCGGGAGAGGGGTCACTGCCCCAGAGTAGCCCACATGGGCATACTGTAACTACTTAACCAGTCCCCTTGTTGGGAGAGGTCCAGGTTACTTTCAATCTTTTGCTCTAAAAATAGTATAGCAACTAGTGTACACGTGTTGTATGGCATGTGTGTGGTTATATGTGTGGGATAAATTCCTAGAAGTAATATTGCTGGGTCAGAGGGTTTTGGACACTTCTGTTGTTGATGATTATCACCAAATTGCCATCTATAGAGTGATACCAGCTTGTATTTCTACAAGCACTCTATGTTTGCAGACGCATCGATAATAATTCTGTGCCATGTCCCTTCTGGTGACAGGGGTATGGGGAGGGGTAGGTAACCACATCCCCCTCACTCTCATCTTTTCAAAGGTACGTGCATCAGAGGGCCTTGCAAGCAGTCTCTCTGGGTGAGCATTTTCCTTTCCTGTCACAGACTCTCAGCTGGGCGAGTTTTCTCCCTGCCTCCCAAAGCATGTTTCTGAGCAAATATTTTCCAGTGTGTGCCAGATGTTGGGGAGAGCAGTGGACCGACATCGCCCTACCCTCATGGAGCTTGCCTTCTAGAGCGGGGAGACGGGCAATAGGCAAACAAGTATATAATATGTCAGGGGCCGCAGAAAAGGGTGAGCTGGGAGGTAGGTGGGGGATGGTGGCTGCTCAGGGAAGGCCTGTCTGCCCTGGGGATGTTTGGGCAGAGCCCTGCATAGGATGAGGGAGTGAGGTCTGTGGATCTGCGGTGGCCAAGAATTTCCAGCGACAAGTATGCAGAGGCCCAGAGTTGGAAATATGTGGGTGGGATGCGAGACCCCGAGGGTCCTCAGTGCCTGTCACGTGTGCAGCCCATACTGTTCCCTCCCCTGGGTTGACCGTTGCTCTCCACCTGCTCATCATTTGAGCAGTTTAAGGCCCACCTCTGCTCACTCATCCCAAAACGATTTCTTTTCTGTGTATCTGCTGCAAACCCAGTTCTCAGGCCAGTTCTGACCAAGTTACCAAGGAGAATGAGGTCTGGTCCCTGAAAGTGGCTCTGGCCAATCAAGCACTCCTACGGCCCTGGAGCCTGCACCCTAGTTTGGCCTGCAGCCAAGCCTGCCGTGGGTCCTCAGCTCCTGTGGTGAATGCTGTAGCTCCTGCTGCGGGGCCCCTAGGCTGGGTGGATGGATGCAACGTGACAGGAGACAGGAAGAATTAAGGATGTGCAGAATGCAGATTTTGAGCCAGCAACATGACCAGTCCCCAGGGTTGGCTGGGCATGATTTTGCCTCTCCTTCTTGACTATATCATGCCCAGATTAAAACTTTGGCTCCAGCTCTCCGTGAGTAAATGAGGATGTGCCCTCAGAATGCCATCTTTTACCCTCTTCTCACCTTCTACCCTTCCTTTTAAAAATGCAAAAAAGAAATGCATAAATCATGTTGACCAACAGTTCATGAATCCCCACTGTTGCCAGGGGCTTTGCTTGGGGTTAAAGGGCAGCAGAGATGAATTTGGCACTGTCCCTGACTTCAAGAAGCCGACAGTTCACCCTGGAAAATGTCTTAACTTGTGTGGAATGTGCATGGGGGGGAAAGCAGGAGTGCCTGGGAGTGAGAAGCAGGGAGGGCAGGGACTGGGGTGGTCAGGAAGGGTCCGAGGAACAGCTGGGAAGTGACCCAGCCTTAAAGGATGGAGAGAGGATGGAGAGCCCCAAAGATACAAAGTCATTTGGAGTCTAAACACCAGCTATGGAGTGCGGCCCTTTAACCTGCATGGGAAGAAGTCATGGAAACCCATGGCTTTAACCAAAGAGGGGCCTGAAGTAGAAATGATTTCTCCCTGGCCCCAAGCTCTCACCTTCCCCATCCACTCTAGAGGCAAACGTGTGCAGGCCTGACCCGTCTTGCTCTCTGCCCCTGCTGCTGCCCTAGGCCACACTGCCACCATGCCTGGCCAGGTCCCTCAATGTCCACCCTTCCCTCCTACAGCAGGCAGAATGGTCCCCTTAAGACATAAACCAGGCCAAGCATGGTGGCTCACACCTATAATCTCAGTGCTTTGGGAGGCCAAGGCAGGAGGATCACTTGAGGCCAGGAGTTCAAGATCAGCCTGGGCAACATAGAGAGACCCTGTCTCTACAAAAAATAAAAAAAAATTAGCAGGGCATGATGGCCTGCACCTGTGGTCCCATCTACGCAGGAGGCTGAGGACAGAGGATTGCTCGAGCCTAAGAGTTTGAGGTTACAGTGAGCTGTGATCAAGATGTATACAATGTGGAGTGATTCAACCACACTCATTGACATATTCATCACCTCACAAGTGCTGCTTTGCATCACAGTGCTTACCGCCATCTGATAGAGATGTTTATTGGTTTGTTTTCTGCATTTCCACCGCCCCGGAGCTGCATTTCCACCGCCCTGGAGCAGGGCCTGGTCTGTCTTGTTCTCTGCAGTGAACTGTGCTGGCCTGGCGCAGGCGCTCGGCAGGTACTTGTGACTTTGTCTCTTTTGTTTTGGTAGATCTGTGCTGCTTTCGAAGTGCCACCTCGGCATCTCTCTACAGTGTGATCAAGGAGACCTGGCATCTGGAACAGGACTGTGTTGAGATCAGAGAGACCCAGTCTGTAGTCTGATTGATCTCTACTGACTTTGAGGTTATGGAAGTTGTAGGAAGGTTGTTGTTATGGTTTATACAGCATGTAGTATATTTTCATTCATTCCACATTCCACTCAATATTTGAGTACCTACTAGACATAGTTCAAGGATTTCTGTACATGAAATGTGCCAAAATGCTTCTCCATAAAAGCAGTGAATCACCTTTGCATGAATTGAGTTAGATGTTGGTTACTGGGCTCCCTTGAGTTGTGGGTTAGGAGTTAACTGTGGCCTGACCTGGATCCCTGTGACTAGGTGATGCTCTCGAGTTTGCCAGCAACAGAACCGTCTCTGCGTCCAACATCTCCTAAGCGGGACAGTAGCGTGGGCTGTGGCATGCTAGGAAGATCACTCTGGCCAGTTGTGTACAAGATAAATTGCAGGGGAAGGAAGTGGGGACCAGGATGACGCATCAGGACGCGGGACAGTCCTCCATGAGGGAAGCAACAAAACCTCACCTTTGAGTAAGGCCAGGGACCTGGAAAAGTGGGACTAAAATGTCTCCAGGACGTTTTACCAGGAAAACTACCAGAACCTGGTACCTTCTTGGTTATGGATGGTAAGGGGAGAGCAAAATGACTGAGGTTTTGAGCTGGAGGTGACATGGAGCTGCTTTGAGGCAAAGATGATAAAGCCATAGTGTCATCCAGAAAGTGAAGCCCAATGAGTGTGGGAAGGTTCGTGCAGACGAGCTAGATGTGGGGTCCCTGAGAGTCGTGATGATCGACATGGCAGGAGGGGACGGCATTGAGAAGAGCAGAAGCTTGACAATAACTATTTGGGGAGGAAAATATTGGAGGAATGCCTGTTTTAGGAACTGAGAGAAAAAGCATTAGCCAGCAAAGAGGGCTGTGGTAGGAGTGGTCCGTGGGGCTTGGTGAGCTTCTCGGAAGCCACGCCCAGAGAGGGTTTCAGGCACTCGGTGTCAGCACACCAGTGCTGCTGGGGCTTCAAGAGAGAGTGAATCAGAAAACTGGGACATAGCAAGCATTGGTGAGGCTGTAGAGAAACCAGAACCCTCATGCATTGCTAGTGAGAGTGTAAAATGATGGAGCCATTGTGGGAAAACAGTCTTGCAGCTACTCAAAAAGCTGAACATAGAGTTACCACATGACCCAGAAATTCTAATCCTATGTAATATCCAGGAGAATTGAAAACATGCATCCAGGAAAAGCCTGGTACACGAAGGTTCATAGCAGCACTATTCCTAATAGCTAAAAGGTGGAAACAACGCAAAAGTCCATTAACAGATGAATGGATAAACAAAATGTGACATATCCTTACAATGGAATATTAGTCAGCCACAGAAAGGAATGAGATACTGGTATATGCTACAACATGAATGAACCCTGAAAACATTAAGTGAAAGAAGTCAATCACAAAAGGCCACATATTGTGTGATTCTATTTCTATAAAATGTCCAGCACGGGCAACTCCATAGAGACATAGAATCGGGGGGAGTTGCCAGAGGCTGGAGTGAGGAGGAACAGGGAATGGCTGCTAGTGGGTATGGGTTTGTATGGGGAGTGATGAAAATGTTCAGAACTTAAATAGTGGTGATGGTTGCACAATTCTGGGGATATCCTAAAAAGCACTGCATTATATACTTTAAAATGGTGGATTTTGTGTTATGTGAATGGTATCTCAATTTAAAAGAGACAGAGAGATTGAGAGAATGAGCCAGGCAAGTCGGGGGAAGCATGGACTGTAGCACGGCAGGACTGAGCGCTGAGCAGCCCAGCCATGGCCCTAGTTAGGAAACAGTTCCAGCCCCTGAGTAAGTCCACAGGTTTGTGGGTTTGAAAGTCTACAGCACTGGGCCAGTGGAGAAGAGGGCTTTGACTCCTGGACTTCCTCCTGTGGCCAGGGCCCAGGGGTGCCTGAGTCAATGGCTGAACCTCCTCACCCATAGAGGAGTTACCAATTATACGTCTCTAAGCTAATTTCATTTCCCTGAGGACTTCTGCTGACCAGTTGTTAACACTGGATGATCCCAGCGCACTCACTGCTGCAGGCTTTCTCTTCAGTGGCCTCTTGAATCACGGTGTTCAGACCTGGCCCAGGGGCTCCACATCGCACCATCACACTGACCTCCAGCTGCTCTAACCCTGTCGGAGAAATCACGGCCACCCGGCGCAACTGACTTTCTGCTCTCTGACTTTTGTGGGCTCTCACTCTAGCCTGAACCTTGGAGATGTTTGTTACAGGCCGCATCAGGGCTGGGGCTGCAGGTCGGCGGGGGCTGCAGGGAGCTACAGGGCCCAGTAGCCGGCATGTCTCCTTCAGTGGTGCTCTCTGCCCCTCTCTTCCACAGCTCTTGCAATCTCAGGATGTGAAGGAAGATGCTGTCCTTTGCTGCTCTATGGAGGTAAGCTTTGGGGCTTCGACATCCCCAACCTCAAAGCCGGTGCATCTCTCATGCCTTAACAGTTCTAGGGGCACGAGGGTTGTTGGAGGCATTTACAAGTCCAGGGGAAGGTAGGTGGATGGCTTCAGGAGTGGGCATGGACTTCTGCATCCAGAATTATCCACCCCAAGCCAGAGTGAACACTGATGGTGAGAGCAGCTCACCCCTGACTGAAGGGAGAGAGAAGTGATTCCCAGTGGCATTGCCTACTTCCCTGTCCCCCAAAGACCCCCTGCGCCCCAGCTCAGGCATGCCACACAAATGACTTAAGAAGTTCCTGATTACCTCTGCCCTCAAATATTTCCCTTTGCTTTGCTAATGCTTGGCAATGCAGTGCTGGCACAGCCCACCCGAAAGCACACCTCTTGGGAGGTGCCACTCCTGTCCCTAAGCTGTGGCCCCTGCTAATGGAGACTCTTCCTCTGGGCTCTCCCTTTAGCGCCTGGCTTTGGCCCAGTCCCTGGGCAGATCTCTGCCCTCTGCAGATGGTCCAGAGTCACTCAGAGTGGGATGCAGGCAGGAGAGGGGCTTCCAGACGAGGACCTGGGCCTGGCAGCTGTCATAAGCATACTCAGGTGGCTTCCGCCTGGCTGCAAAGGCCTCACTGAGGAGCTCAGAGGCCAGAAGCACTGGGAGCCAGATGGCAGTCTTGGGTCTGTGGGACTCAGTTTGTTTGTTGGCCTCCAGCTGGGCACCCTACAGGGGGCTTGGGATTAGGGGGGAATTAGGGAGAAGGAGAAAGCCTGGTCCTTGCCCTCAGGCAGCTTCCAGTCTGGTTAGGAATAGCTCTCAGAGAGTAGATAGAATAAGTGTAAGTACAGAGACATCCCTGAAGAGTCAGGGGAGAGAGGTCAGGAAGGGCTCAGGGGTTCAAGGGAGGCTTTGTGAAGAAGGCAGAGACTAGAAAAATGAATGGGACAAGGCTGGGGACCGAGACGGGGACTGAGATTCTATAGAGAGGGCCTGGGGGGCACTGGCCAGGGGTGTGCTGGTCCAGGAATAGGGGCTCCTTCCCAGTGGGCTTTTCAAGATTATCTAGGGCTCTCCTGACGGCCTCTGGCTGGCCTTCTTCCCCAGTTTGTATTTCTCTCCCCCACTTCCTGTCACAAGCATGAGCAGAGGTCACTTCTGGGGGCTGGGAGATGGGATCAGGATCAGGAGAAAAGGAGAGCGAGAGAAACAGGAGGCATCACCCCTGCTCTCAAGTTCCAATGGACACATGTAATAATGACTAAGCTCATTGCCAGAGAGACGCCCCAGCAAGTGAAAATGACCACAGGGCCCCCTGATCACCAAGGGGCACAGATCATGGAGCCATTTGAGGGTGCGGATGTAGTCAGGGAAGGCTTCCTGGAAGAGGGAGGCTCTTGGGTAAAAGGGACAAGAGGCATGTTCCTGGTGACAGCTCTTTCAGCCCTGGGCAGTAGGCAATATTCGGATCCCTCTGGATCCTGCTGGCAGATTGGTTGGTAAATGTGAGCTCTCACTCTTGGCTACTCCACCTTCCACTCTCCCTGTCCTCATTCCAGCTGTGGCACAGGGGTCTGGGCCTGTGTGTCCTTAAGACAACCCAGCTATTTCCTATCCCTGCCCACCTAATCAGGGTGGCCAGTGGGCCACTGTGGGACCCGAGGCCATCCTAACCCCACATCTCTGTCTGCAGCTGCAGAGTACAGGCCGGCTGCTGGAGGAACAGCTGCCTGAGATGATGACAGAGCTCCTGGCCAGCGCACGGGACAAGATGCTGTGCCCCTCGGAGTCCATGCTGACCCGGTCGCTGCTCCTAGAGGTCATCGAGCTCCACGCTAACAGCTGGAACCCTCTGACGCCCCCCATCACGCAGTACTACAACAGAACCATCCAGAAACTGACAGCCTGACAGCCAGGGGGCCTGGCAGGCGGCCCACGGGCAGCTGGGGCCCTGGTGCACAGGGCCAGATGGACAGGCGGGAGGACAGGGGTGGCCCTGGCGGGAGAAAGAAATGGGGAGGAGGGCAGGCAGAGTCGGTGGCCAGTCTGGAGCCAGACGGGGAAGGGAGCAAATCCCTGAGAGGAGTGCCCCCGCACAAGCCCCCCAGCCCGAGCATGCAAGCTCACACCAATAAGGGAAGCATGTTTCTTTTTCCTGGTGGCCCTGGCCCTCCCCTTCCTCACTCCCGCCTCTCCCCTCCCCATCAGACCCATCCCCCACGGAGCTTTGTGTGAGGGATCTCATCGCTGTGACTCCTCGGAGACCTTGGCAGCCTCGCACGCCGGGGCACCGCTTGGGTCAGAAAGGACCTCGGAAGGCTGAAAAAGTGGGTCGGAGACGGGCTCGCATTGTTCCCGCATGCTGTCAGCCGCAGTCGCCAACTGGCAGCAGGCGACGTGTAGCAGATGTCCGGGAGGACAAAGGCAGGCACGGTCCCCACCAGCCGCCCGTAATTGACGGCCTTTGTCAGCCATGGCAGAGCTGACGCTCCACCTCCCACCTCCAAGTCCTCCTCACTGCAGCCCCCACAGCCTCAGGCCTAGGGGGTCAGGCGCAGCGGGGGAGATGGAGTTTGCAGTTCCACTTGCACTCTTTTGTTTATTGTGTTTTATTTTTCAAAAGTCGGTTGCTTTGAAGTCTCTTTGGCCAATGAAAATGCCCGTGATGTGATCACACAGTCAGCACTGTTGAGGACCCCCGGATTAGTGGGAGATCAAACCCAGCTCCCCTCTAGAAGAAGGATTCGAGCCACAGACAGCTTGCCAGTAGCCAATTAGGGTAATTGGAAACTTCTGCCCCGGCGGGGGGTCCCCGCTGGAATCCTGTGTTCCTCGCCACTGGCTTCCAGCGCCTCTGTTTTCTCAAAGGGCTGATACTGTCACCACTGGGACCAAGTTAAACCTGGTCCTGGCCCCAGGGGCCTTGTGGCAAACAGGGCACAGAACGAGACTGGCAAATTAAAACCAAAATTCTAGATGGTGTCTTGCGCTCCACACGCAGGTCTTACTGGGGAAAAGGATGGGAGTGGGGGCTCCCCAGGACTCGATTTTAGCTAATGCGCTGTGTCACTGCCCCAGCTCGGACGTAGAAGCCCAGCCCTCCGTGAGCTCTTGGGAAAGGGGTGAATTCACTGGGTCATGGAAGGGACAGTCAGGTGACCAGCGGGGTCGCCAGATGAAGCTTCCCAGCCGGGAAACAAGACGGGGTTTCTTGGCAGGCCCTGGTCCTGGGGAGCAGGCCCTGTTGTTGGCTGGAGAGGAAGGTGTGGGGTGGAACAGGTGTCCACATAGCTCCATCTCTGGGGGCTGGAGCACACACTTTGATGAGCCCCCCCGGAAATGATGTCAGAGCCTAGCCGCTTCCTTATTTGCTCTTTTATTGAGGCCGGGCAGGCCCTGGGTCACTTTGGAGGCCCCTCTTGGTCCACACTGGACTGGCCGGGAGGTGATGGGCGGGGAAGGTTCTCGTGATTGATTGATTCTGAGTCTGAGAGTGGCGAGTGGGGAGAGGCTTCCCCAGTTCTCTCCAGCTTTCCCTGCAGCTGCAACCTGCCCTCTGGTCCCAGGTGTGGAGCCTTTGCCTGTCTCTAAAAAGAGCCTGTTGGCGACAAGGTGTAGGGGGCACAAGTTTACCTGAAACAGGTCAGTGGTCTCTCCCAAGAAGCGCACGCCACCTCTGGTCCCTGGCCCTGAACCCTGCCTTCTTCCTCCCTCCACGGTTTCTTCCCAGACTTTCTCAAGCTCCTCCTCACTGCCCTTCCTCCCCAGCCCAGCCTGGGAACACAGATGCCCCGCGGGTAGGAGGCCTCGAGGGAGGAGCCGGGCTGATGCGGGGCTGCTCAGGGCAGGCCCCAGGGCGAGCTTGCCATCGTGGCCAGGCAGCCTCCACCTGTGCTTCAGTGGCCCCTGCCCCCCTGAAGCATGTGGGGTTTGTCCGCTAGGAGGAGGCAAGGCCCCCGAAGAGAGGAGAGACCTGGGAGTGGGAGCTCAGGTCAGGGAGGAGGCAGGGGAGTGGGGTCTCCCAGACCCAACGGTGAGCTCAGAGCAAGCTTCACGCAGGACGCTCCGAAACACTGTGTGGAGGGGGCTGTGTTGTGGGCACCTTGGGGCCTGATTCTCCTTCCTCCGAACGGGCTCCTTGATGGCCTGGCCACAGGGGCAGCTCCCCATTGGCTGTTAGGACCAGAGTGTGAAGAAGAAGTGAAATATAAATATGTATACATATATAAATATATTTTTAATTACATGTCGTGTCACGGTGGCTCCAGACATACTGTTTGCCTAGTTTATTCCACTGCTTGAAAGCGCTTCCTAGCCAATCTGAACAACAACACTTTAAGCTGTTTTTCTAAATGCAGGTTGCTGCTCCTTTTTCAGATATGGAAGGAAAACGTTAAGACTATTTTTTTTTTAAAGAAACAACAGTCAAGCCTAAAATTTGAGACCCCGAGGCAGCTTCCCGAGGGAGACTGCTCAGACAGGAACTGCAGGACAGAAGTGGATGCCCCACAGACCCTGGCCCCCTCCCCAAGTCCATCCCCTCTCTGTGGCATGAGGAAGGCCGCGTCCGAGTTGACCTCTGAATGTATGTGATGAGAGGCAGAGCTGGATATTGCATTTCTAAGGCTTGCATTGCTTTCCCCTCGCCCGCGGTTCTTGGCGCATGGAAGAGGCGGTCCAGCCATCTGATGTTGATCCTGTCTCAGTCTCCCCACTGCCTGTCAGGATGAGTTAGTCATTGTTTTTCTCCGAGGCGGCCTGCTTGCCACAGCCCTGCTCCCCAAGGCCTGGTGGCTTTGCCGAAGCTCTGGGACCGCAGCCCCAGCGAGGCCCCCAACCTCACCCAGACGAGGCCAGGAGCCCCGCCACCCTCCACGGGATGTGCACCCTCAGACCCCATTCTCTCTGTTCGTCCTTCCTTGACCAGTCTGTAAACCTTCACTGTTTGGGGATCGTCCTGTCCATCCATGTAAATGTAAATGTTGGCCGAGTCGGTATTTATTCTGATTGATTTTTATTTTATTCTATTATTTTCTCCGAGGGATGAGGGTGGGGGGTGTGGGAAGGGTACCACAGATCAGGCCGGGGCAGCTGTAGGGGCGGGGGCCCAGACAGCCAGGCCGCCACCAGAGCAGCCCCATGGGGTGCCCCAGACGCGGGCCTCCAAGAAGCCAAGTCCCAGTCTGTTTTCTGGCATCAGACACCGGCCCGTGTTCCTTGTCAGACAGACAGACTCTCAGGCCTGCCTGGGGAGTCGTGTCCCTCAGCTGCAGGGCACTGTGTTGGGAAACCATTGGCTGGGCCTTTGAGGACACAGATCAGAAGAAAGAAAGACAACTTTCCTCTGCGCGGAACACTCACACGGAAGGGCTGGCCGCCTCCCTGAGCCGGCTGGGAGTGGACGACAGGACCTACCTCCCCAGAGCAAGGGCCTGGGGCTTCCCGCCAAAGCTGCCGCGGAACCCCGCTAGTGCGACCACCCTCCCTCCGTCGGTATGTCCTGCTTTCCAGCTGAACCCAAACTACAAGTGGGTTTAAAAAAATAAACACCACCACCAAAAACAAAATGCCCAGAGTCTGTGCTCTTTGTGTGTTCAGCAAAAGAAACCTTTTCCCCAAGCTCATGTGCCTCAGCTATACTAGCAGGGCCTCCAGGAGCTGGCCCAGGAGATGAGCTGAGGGGAAGATTCTTGCAAGAAGTTGGTCCAGGAGACCATGGGTGAAGGAGACTTACTTACATCCCCCAAAACTGGGAACTAACTATGACCTATCCAAAGTGACCTGGACCTGTCCAGGATCAAGCCAGTCCTGGACAAAATGGCTTTTGCACTAAAGGTTTGGTTTAACCAACCCCCCCCAAACCTACCCCTTCCCTGGAAATGTCACTGTGGCATTTGGCAATGAGTCATTTCAAGAGGGCTGAGATTTGGGCCCAGTGGCTTTCAAAAGTCAACAGCGAGTGGCTGTCCAGTCCCAGTTGGTCAAATGAGTCTTTCATCAACGAGTCCCCAAAGGGCCCAGTGATTTCTTTTCCTGTGATGACATGTCTCTTGTTTTGCACAATCTTGTCTATGGCAAGGCACTGGGGACACTGTTTCCTGGTAACGCTCCCCTTTCCTTGGGGATTCTTTCTGGCTAGAACTTGCTGGTCCTTCAGCTCCTTGCAGGGGTCGCACCAGAGCACCAACTCCCTTCCTCCTTCCCTGGCCTGGCTACAATGGCGGCCAGGGCCTCCCAGGAGCCGGGTGAAGGCATGTTGAGATTCGGGCCTTGCCCTTCACTGAGTCACACACCCACCATGACACTGACAGGGACAGCCAGAAGTCCACAGACTGGGTAGAGAGAGAGAACATTTTAATTAAACAACTGAGGTATGTGGCGGGCCAATTTTTTTTTTTTTTTTTTTTTTTTTTTTTTTGAGATGATGATGGACTCTCGCTCTGTCACTCAGCCTGGAGTGCAATGGCACGATCTCAGCTCATTGCAACCTCTGCTTCCCAGGTTCAAGCAATTTTCCTGCCTCAGCCTCCCAAGTAGCTGGGATTACAGGCACACACCACCACGCCTGGCTAATTTTTTTTGTATTTTAGTAGAGGTGGGGTTTCACCATGTTGCCCAGGCCGGTCTTGAACTCCTGAGCTCAGGCAATCTGCCTGCCTTGGCCTCCGAAAGTGCTGGGATTACAGGCATGAACCACCGCTTCCAGTCCTAATTTTTGTATTTTTAGTAGAGACAAGTTTTCGCCATGTTGGCCAGGCTAGTCTCAAACTCCTGACCTCAAGTGATCCACCCACCTCGGCCTCCCAGGGTGTTGGGATTACAGGCGTGAGCCACCGTGCCAGGCCCAAATTTATTTTTATAAAAATGCAAAGCAGTAGAAGCAGACATTGGAGGTCAAGATCAAAGGTAGGGCGACGATGAGGAACAGAGAGCCTTATCACACCCTGCAAAAGAGAAAGGAGATTTTCCTGGATGGGCTAGTCCTGCTTCCAGAAGGCCCTAAGTTACTGAATACTACGAGACACAGCATCGAAATAATACATGTTTCAATCCTGATTTCACCACCATCTTTCTGCTTGTAGGCATTCTCTTGTCATTTTAGAGTGTTTGTTTACATTTGTACTGGGATGCTCACAGCGTAACTTATAAGGGCCTTTTAAGGACCAAGGCAAAGATGATGATAGCAGAAAAATAAAGGGTTGAGCAGTTGAAATGGGAAAGAAGTGGTCCTGCCTTACTGATCTCCCTCATTCCTGCAGTTCCGCAGCGGCTTCCTTACACGGTCTCAGCTGGTCCCGTGAAGTAGGCAGGTGAGTGTTTTCGATTCCCATTTTATAGATGCGCCAAAGGCTGATCACCAGAAGAGCCAAGGCGAGGGTGAGCCCAGAAAGTGAGTGGGTCCTTCAGACTCCTCATCCCTGCAGCGCCCCAGGGAGCCAGCCAGTCACACCAGCCAGACAAAAGGAGCAGCCAGCTGCCCCCGGGACTCGGCAGGCTGCGGGCAGGCCACGTGGGCTTCCCGCTTCATTGGTGGAAACTAGGACCATGATGAAATACCTCAGATCAGGAGATTTCAGTGGAGTGGGCAGAAGGAGCGATGGTGCAGAATTTGGTGCCGTTCTATAAAAGGACCCATTATCATATGTGCAGTGTGTGTTGCTGGATCCCAGTTTCCCCCAGGCCAGTGAGGGGGACCCTGATAGGGGGACATATCAAGCATCAGGGTCAATACCCGAATTGCCTGGGAACATTTTCAAACTACATACTAAAACAGCACACACATACACACCAATATTTTCAGAATTTGGGCCTTGGGGAGCCCCTCTTCTTACTGGTACATGTGTGCTATGCCTTGGATGGGTGCAAGAGAAAAGATGGTTGAGAGCCGCCATCCATCACTCCTGGAACACAGTACGATGATGGCCATGGAGAGCTGTCATAAGTAGTGCAGAATTATTGTCTGGGGACAGCAGGCCATGCTGCTGTGCTCTTTTGCAATCTCAGGGTCTGCCATCTTGGCTGAAACAACACTGGCTGGCACATCTGCAACATGGGGCAGGGGCTCTGGCAAGTTGCTTGAATGTGGAACAGAATCCATACCATGGACTCGGGCTGCATTCTCACTCCTATGGGCCTTAGGTACTTTTGCCTTCATAGGCCCCTTCTTCCATTTAAAAAAAAAATGGAAATATTATGACTACATTGGTAATAGAGACAAATATATTATTTTTATTAAAACATTTTCTCCCACCTAGAAGTTCATTTTTTTACCCCTGATTTTAAAAAAATTAAAACACTTTGTGGGCCCCTAAAAAACATTTTGTGGGCTCCTGTCTTAGTCCATTCAGGCATCTGTAACAAAGTACCATAGACTTGGTGGCTTATGAACAACAGACATTTATTTCTTAAAATACTAGAAGTTGGATGTCCCAAATCAGGGTGCCAGCATAGTCATGGTCTGGTGAGGGCCTACTTCCCAGTGGCTAATTTATTGGATCTTCATGGCAGAAAGAGAGTAAGAGACTTTGCTGGGGTCTCCCTTATAAGGGCACTAACCCCATTGATAAGGGCTCCATCCCTCTGACCTCCTCACCTCCCAAAGGCACCTCCTAATACCATCATATTGGGGATTAGGATTTCAACATATGCATTTAGGGGACACAAAAACATGCCATCCATAGCAGCACCCTTTGTATATGCCTAACAGGTGTATTGGCCCTACCTGAGTGTCATCTGAGCTGGGAGTCCCACCTTTCTCTGCTGCCCACCTGATCTCTGGGTGACTCAGGGCTGGGGAGGGGGAGTGGTTCAAAAGCAGTCTTCCAAGGAAGCAGTTGGCCCGTGCTGGAAGCAGATGCAGTAGCTGCCTCTGCCCTGGACTGGCTGCCAGCCAGACAGCTCCAAGCGCCAGCCAGAGCAGCTGTGTTTGCCGCGCTAAGGAGGCTGGCCCCTGAGAGCCCGATTCATCACACAGCACTTTCTCCCCTCTGCAGCCCTTTAGCACACATTATCTGGTTACGGTCTCACCAGAGCCCCGTGAAAGAAGTAAATACAATGCTTATATCCATTTCAAATCTGGGGAAACTGAGGCTTACAGAGCCATCCCATAGGTTTGAATGGGGCTTTATAGTCTTTAAATATATGACTATGTTCGATCCTTACGACAGCGCTGCCAGGTGACATGTTTTTGACACCATTGTAAAGAAGGGAGACAGGCTCACAGAAGCAGAGTAACAATCCCATGTCATGGGACCTGTAGGCACAAAGACCAGGCCTCGAATTGCTGCCTTCTTAGTCCTAAGATGGGACTGGTGGGTGGGTATGGGGACCAGGCTGAGGACCCAGGCCACCTTTGTGCCTGAGTCCCCTGATCCAGGCCTGTGGAGTGCAGGTCTGTGCTTCCTGCTCAGTGTCCCATAATTCTAACTGGTCTCCATCTTCAGCCTCCCCATTCACTGGGCATCCCCTGGCTCCCAGGCAGAGTCCTGAGTCTCCTGCAACCCATGGGGGCATCCATTCCATGGGTGGAATCAGTCCCAGGTGACAGATTAAGTCTTACAATATGGCCAGGCCAGGCACAGTGGCTCAAGCCTGTAATCCCAGCACGTCGTGAAGCTGAGGCAGGAGGATCACTTGAGCCCAGGAGTTTGAGACCAGCCTGAGCAACATGACAAGACCCCATCTCTACAAAAAAATATATATATTTTTAACTAGCTGGTCGTGATGGCACACACCTGTAGTCCCAGCTACTCAGGGGGCTGAGGCAGGAGGATCACTCGAGCCCAGGAAATCAAGGCTGCAGTGAGCTGTGGTCGCACCACTGCACTCCAGGCTGGGTGACAGAGCAAGACCTGTCTCTAAAAAAAAATAATAAATAATATGGCCAGGAGGCCAGGCATGGTGGCTCACGCCTGTAATCCCAACACTTTGGGAGGCCAAGGTGGGTGGATCACTTGAGGTCAGTAGTTCAAGACCAGCCTGGCCAACATGGTGAAACCCCATCTCTACAAAAATACAAAAAAATTAGCCGGGCATGGTGGCGCAGCCTGTAATCCCAGCTACTCGAGAGGCTGAGACAGGAGAATCGCTTAAACCCAGGAGGCAGAGATTGCAGTGAGCCAAGACCGTGCCATTGCACTCCACCCTGGGTGACAGAGCGAGACTTAATCTCAAATAATAATAATAATAATAATAATAATAATAATAATAATAATAATAATAATAATATGGCCAGGATCCCACAGCTGACCTGAAGCAGAGATGGTTCAAGGGTGATGCTCTGTCTCCTAGTCTCATCACCTGTGCCCACGTCTTTCAAGTGAACCCCTACTTGGGTCCCACCTTGTGCTGGGGGTGCTATAAGGAAATAAGCAAAGGAGACAATGCCTTAACCACCTTGGCATGGTCAGTCTCCTGGGAGCTGGAATTTCCAGACAACAGACAACCTCTCATAGGCCTAGCCCAACTCTGGGTAGGTCCTGGTGCAGGGTCCCTGCCTGTGGCATCTGCTGTGCTACAGAGAGCCAACACCTGGCCCAGGCCTTCCAATGGGGACCATTCAGGGCTTGACGAAGCTTCACTTTCCAGCCCCAGAGAGGAAGGACCACCATTCCCCTCCCTTCCCAGAACAAATCAGGTGAAACCCAAATACCCACCTAGGCCAAAAGAAGAAAACTTCCAGTGGGAACCAAGACAGGCTAGCAAGGTGAAAAGAGACTTATTCTATAGCATTTCCCCCAAATAACAAAAGTGTGATTAAAGCAGGTGAGAAGCCAATTTTAACAACACTTGTATGCATACACAGACCCTTGCAATTCTGCACACTCTAAAATCTTACTTTTTGTGGCTTAGAATGTTTCAGCACTCAGTGGAGTTTCTGCAGCCAGCAGTCACACCTACAGAGTTTCAAATCCGTGTAAACGCTGTGTCAGCCTAACCACCAGTGTGATTCTGTGTCATTCGGGGGCAAATGTTGATGTTTCTTGGGTAAGTGAAAGATCATGCAGAGAGCTTCCGGAAGACCATCCTTAGGAGCTGAACTGAAAGAAGGCCTCTCAGAGGGGCCACAGCCTCCTTCTCCCTGTGCTAGAGACAAGTCCCTAATAGCCATCTATGCTCAATGGGACTCAATGTGTCTCGGGAGCCTGGAAGCCTTTTTCTGCCCCATTCCTGACATCATGCCACCTACACATCAGACACAAGGCACCCGGCCCACTCCATCACCTCCAGTTCCCAGAAATGTGCAGGGAGCTCAGGTCAGGGCTCTTGAATCTCCTGCTGACCCAGCAGAACATACGACACAAAGGCATCTCAAAGGCAAACAAAATGGGTGGGAGGGAGGCTCATGGCCCAGGCGCGTCATCAGTGCAGTCCTGTTCAGCCAGGGCAAGGCTCAGCCGGGTGCAGCTTAGAGGAAAAGGAGAAGTGCTGAGGCTGAGCAGGTGGGGAGGGACTGTAACTCATGAGGTGTGTCGCCAGATTGGAAAGGGGGCTCAGGGTCCGTGTTGCCTAGCTACTGCCATGTCACTGTGTGACTAACAAGCCCCAAATCTCAGGAACTGCAACACAGAGGTTCACTGTTCCTGATCACAGGTCTGCAGATGGGCTGTCTCTGATCCACACCATGGCCTCCCTTTCTGGTGAGAAGGGGCAGAGCTCAGCATGCAGTGAGTCACAGAAGTTAGAAAGCACGTGCCTCTGTCTACTGCCACCTCTTTCAGGAAGCTCTCCCTGACTGCTCCCTAGTCAGGGTTACAGATCACCCCTCGGGGCTCCCACAGCTGCCAGGGATGTTCTGCCACAGTCCTGCTCCCTGGGCATGGCCATTGGTGTGTAGATGGCAGATGCCTGCTGAGGATGAGCGTGACTTCGTCCCCTCTGTCTCCCCAGCACTAAGCCAGGGCCTGGCCCCAGCAGGTGCCCCATAAGCATGTGGGGGATGAAGGGAATGGTCCAGGTACTAAGGGACTGAGGGGCTTGGGGAGGGAAGAGCCAGCTGTGCCTGGAGCCACATACTCGAGGCAGGGCACTCAGGGCCAGGGAGGAATACAGGGTGGGGCACGGGCAGGGCCTTCCAGTGGGGAGGGCTGGGGGTCCTCAGGGGCCTGATGTCTCACTGTCTAGAGAGGCCTGGAGGTGGGTGGGGAGTGCTCTGTGGTCATGGGTGCCAGAGTCTTAGCCAGTGCGGAGGGCACCTTCGTGCCAGTTAGGAGGTGCCCTTCCTCCAGGTGCCCAGCCCTGCCCCAGAACCCTGGGAGCTGCCTCAGACCCACAGCTGGGCACCCTTGTGTAGGACACAACCTGGGCGCTGCATGTGAGACTCTCTGGGTGTGGAGTGTGACTGTGTTGTGTGGGGGTGCGGGATGTGGTATATACGCACACACGCAGGGAGCGGGGTATGTGTGGTTGGAGAGGGTTGCGTTGTGTGTTGTGTGGGGTGCGGGATGTGGTATATACGCACACACGCAGGGAGCGAGGTATGTGTGGTTGGAGAGGGTTGCGTTGTGTGTTGTGTGGGGTGCGGGATGTAGTATATACGCACACATGCAGGGAGTGGGGTATGTGTGGTTGGAGAGGGTTGCGTTGTGTGTTGTGTGGGGGTGGGGGATGTGGTATATACGCACACGTGCAGGGAGCGGGGTATGTGTGGTTGGAGAGGGTTGCGTTGTGTGTTGTGTGGGGTGCGGGATGTGGTATATACGCACACATGCAGGGAGCGGGGTATGTGTGGTTGGAGAGGGTTGCGTTGTGTGTTGTGTGGGGTGCGGGATGTGGTATATACGCACACGTGCAGGGAGCGGGGTATGTGTGGTTGGAGAGGGTTGTGTTGTGTGTTGTGTGGGGGTGGGGGATGTGGTATATACGCACGCACGCAGGGAGCGGGGTATGTGTGGTTGGAGAGGGTTGCGTTGTGTGTACATGGTGTGAGAATGGAGAATTAGTGTGGTATGCGTGTGGTGTATGTGTGTGTGCTGTGTGTGGGTGTGTGTGATGTGGGGTGTGTGAATTTGTGCTGCACTTTGCAAGCCTCCCAGGCTGGGTGGCCTCTGTGCAGGGAGAGCTGGGAGGCCTAGCTGTGAGGGTGCCACGTCCTAGAGCCAGAAACACAGGTGTCTCAGTGGCCAAGCCTTCGCCTGCCCCTGGGAGTGGGGCCGGCACGGGGTCTGCAATGGCAGAGAACGGGCTGAAGGTCCTCAGTGGGCAGGCACAGCTGGCCTCCCCTCACGAAGGCCCTTCCTTCCAGAACTCTGGACTATCCCTTAGTTAGGGAGGGAACGGTCTGGACAGACTGAGCCGAGGAAAATATTCCTGGTCAAGGGATGCCCTCAGCTTGAGGCGCCTGGTCGGAGGCTCAGAAGAGATCTGGGGGAGATGCCGGGTCCACACAAGGATGATGTTCTGGAAACCGGAACTGCCCAACGGTGGAGGAGGCCGCTTCCTAAGGGAGCAAAGCCCCACACCCTATGCCCTTGATGAGTTCCAGCAACACTGCGGCCCCCTCAGCCATGGTGTTGGAGGAATCTCCCCTTCACGGTGCAGGGCATGGGTCAGAACACGACCCCACAGACCCCTCACCCTCCTGGGTTCTATAGAAGCAGTGGGGATGCCGGGGCCACCTCCTTCCATCAATTGCACCTGCTGCCCCTCCCCAGAAGTTCCTCCATCGCTTTTCCCCAGTGGCCCCTCCAAATACTCCAGGATACCAGGATGTGGAAGGCACTTTAAAGCCACCCTCTCGTTTTACAGATGAAGACCCTGCGGCCCTTACAGGGAAGGGACTCGCCCAAGGTCACAGAGGTACAGCTAACACCACGGGCACGCCTCGAACCAGGCACCCACCTAAGCGCCCTCATCTCCTCACGCCACGCCCGAGGTGGGACCTTCTCCATCTTACACAGGGGAGGACTTGGCCTGGGGTTGAGAGAGGCCAACATGGCCCAGGTCACAGCACTAGAAAGACGGCAGGATTCTCACAGGGTCCCCTCTGCTGCCAAGGCCCTGCTGCTGACCCTGACGCACACACTCGGTGTCCCCCACACAGCGATGAATCAGATACGTCCACAGAGAGAGGTAGGAAGAGGTTTAGTGAGGCCAGGCAGCTCACTCGGCTTCTTTGAGCCTCGGTTCATCTGCTGAAAATGGGAATGCACAATCCCATCTTGCTAGACTGTTTGGAGAAACAGTGCATGAGCTTTGAGTCCTCCACAAATTACGGCTCTCTTCCCTCTTAACCACGAGACTCGCCCGCCTTGCTGGGTCTGTCTGCTGCTGATTCTCTTGGGCAGTGGGCGTGCAGTAAAGCCTATCTGCTCTCCCGCTAGGACCCACTGGGACTGGGGTCAGTGGACAGGTGTTGGTGTGGGGTTTGGCTGAACTTCTAAGCACTTTTGAAGCTGAGACTTAGGTTGCTGGCCTCACCATCCTCAGTGAAGCACTAACAAATGAGCCAAAGAGTCACCCACCAAACGCCCCACTAAGCACCCATCAGCTGACCCTGAACACCTGCTGGGTGCAAGACAGAGCTGAGCCCTGCCCTGGGAGATACAGAAGGAAGACACACCTGCCCTACCCTCAAGCCGAGTGTTGCCACTCTAATTGAAGATTTAAGGCCAGTCGCTGTCCAGGTGAATGCCACAGTCCCTTCCTGTGTTCCCAGTGGGGAACCTGGCAGGCGGCGGAGAGGGCGGCATGTAAAGAAAAGCCCACAATGAGGTGTTCTGCTGACCACACACAGCTGCACCTTCTGGTGATGGAGTCGTTAATACCTGGAGAGGGGGCCACCCAGCGAGGCAGTGGCGTAGGGACCCAGTCTCCTGGTGGGGAGCTGACCCAGCACACGAGGTCGGCCTCAGGGTGGGCTGCCAGTGTGCAAACAAGTGCTGCCTGGGGTCAGGCAGACAACGGTCAAAGTCAGAGTCTCTTTATCAGAAGAAGACAGGAAGAATTAAGGGAGACATCTTCCTGCAGCATGCAGAATGGATTAAAGGGGAGAGGAACGGTGAGGAACAGCAGGAAAACCAGTTAATTGGCCAGGTGGGAGGCACCTCCATGGGGGAGGAAAACTAAAGAGGGTTCTGCGGGCTCTGATGTTCAGCCAAGGCCAGCTGTCTCCATCGCGGGCGCCTGGCATGGTGCAGAATGAGGCGTGACACAGACCTTCATTTTCTGTAGCTGTAATCTACCTCTTTAAATAGCAAAACTTTTTATTTTCATTTTTTGGTAGCAATCTTTCCCCGGGGGATCCTCCACATCCCAAATTTCTCAGAAGTCAGCGTGTGTTGACTTCCTTGGTGACTCAGGTCCTTCTGACAAGGCTAATGAGTAGACTAGACTGCAACACGGGGTTAGCCTCAGGATTGTCAAGGTAGACCCCGTCTGCCTTGCTTTTTTAATTACTGGATCTGCATTTTACAATTGTTCTCCCTTCTCTGTCATCATAAAATTCTTCTTACTACTATCAGTATACCTGTTGTGGCCTGAGAAACTAGACCACCAAACTTACCCAAACTATTTGCCGAGTAAGAGGAAATAGGCCCTGAGTGAGGGCCTGAGGGGCATTTTCATACCAAAAAGCATGAGCTTTCCTGCATGAATGGGGGTTCGAAGCCACCCATTGATCTGCTCAGAAACCATCTTTGCCTGCTTTCTCATCCCCGGTGACTTTCAAAAGTATGGGACCTGCCAGATAAGAAATGTTTTGCTGACCTAGAATTAAAGTTGTGCTAGTCCCTGGGGTCCTCCTGAGGGGCCCCTGAGGTTGGCTGGGGTTGGGGATGGGACTTATTCTAGTTTTCCAGGGAGGAAGGCTGAGCCTCAGAGGATCAGAATGGGCCAAGATCAGACAGTGAGTCAGGGTGAGTCATGCGGCCTCGAGGCCACACCACACGTCCCAGCATCAGAGCTGGGCAGAAGGGAACTGGAGGCCCCTGCTCTCAGGGAAAGGGCACTGGATTGAGAGTCGGCAGAGAATTCTAGTCCTGCTTCCACCCCAACCAGCTAGGTGCTCATGAAAGTGTTCTTTGGGCCTCAGTTCCCCCATCTGTAAAAGAAGGATGGGTATGTTAGATTTTAAGGTGGGTTCTCTGTGATTTATTTATTTATTTATTTATTTATTTATTTATTTATTTATTTTGAGACGGAGTTTCGCTCTTGTTGCCCAGGCTAGAGTACAATGGCGAGGTCTCAGCTCACTGCAACCTCCACCTCCCAGGTTCAAGCAATTCTCCTGCCTCAGCCTCCCAAGTAGCTGGGATTACAGGCACGTGCCACCACACTCAGGTAATTTTTGTATTTTCAGTACAGACGGGGTTTCACCATGTTGGCCAGGCTGGTCTCAAACTCTTGACCTCATGTGATCCGCCTGCCTCGGCCTCCCAAAGTGCTGGGATTATAGGTGTGAGCCACCGCGCCTGGCCTTCTCTGTAATTCTTGAGTTGTCTTTGTTAATTAGCAGGAGAGGGAGGCAGGAACGGAGGGAGGAGAGACAGATTTTAACAGCTGTTCTGCGTGAGCCCATTTTGGCCCCCAGATTCCCTCCATCCCCTAGTCTGTTCTCCTTTATGGAGTTCACTCCCCTCTAATCCCGTTTCTACCTAGGCTAACCCACCCAGGAGAGCTTTGAAATTTCAGTGGAGTCAACCACAATTCTACAGCCTTTGAGGAAAAGGCCTAATAATGACGATAGCCTACAGATGCAAAGCTCCTCCTGGGAGCACAAGGTCTTGCACCTCTTCGTGTCCCTTGAGGTCCCATTCACAGGGACCGGCTGCAGGCCCAGGAGTGATTTGCCCGAGGGACTGGGCTGGGAGTCAAACCAACATGTGTGGACTCCAGAACTTTTGACTCTTCAGCTAGCTTTGTCTTTGGCACCTTCCATCTGTGTCCTGGGCCACATCTTCCTGGCTTCAGTTGTTTCTTTCTCTATCTGGCACTCAGGGCTCCCAAGCTGAAGGTCCTGATGCTTCAGCATGAGCCAAAGCATTCCCACCTGAGAGAGACCAGGAAGGAAGGACAAAACGAGGACCCATGGAGGACACCAGGCAGTGTGGCCCCTGCACCCACCCCACTAGCTGGACAGGCTACTCAGCATTGGTGACCCCTGCCTGCCTCCAGGTCCCTTTCCATTCTTGGTGACCCCAGGCAGAGCCCCCAAAGCCAGTATGCTCGCCAAAGCCCCATGCAGTTGGCTAGAGCCCAAGCCCTCCTTTTCTGCAGCGACTCCACCGGGCTGGGCTGGGGCTCGAGCTTGGCCACTTTCCTGGGCCGCTGCTGTATCGATTATTTTGGCTCCCTTTTTGCTGGGGATATCAATTTAGTGGGTTCCCAGGATGGCTGTGTTTTAACCTCTCACCCTGGTCTAGACTCTGTCGGCTCCCGCTGTCCCTGGGCCAGGAGGAGATGGAGGGCCCCGGGTCTCTCGGGCAAGCTCTGGAGCCGGAGGATTTCCAGGAACAGAGGCTGGGATCGCCTGGCGGCTCCACAGCCCCGCCAACCTGCCTCCCTTCAAACCGGCCGGTGAATTATTAAAGATGCAATTTCCTTTCATCTTTCCAGTAAAATCGCTCCCTGTGCCATGATCCACTGCTTTCCTGTCACTGGCCAGGCAGGGGCCTTGGCAGGACCCTCATCCACTCTATTCCCTCCCGGTGCCTGAGCCCTCCTAGGAGTCTGGACAGGACTGGCCCCTTCCTAAAAGGGTCCAGGAGTCTTAAGGTATCTGGGTGGGGCAGAGGAGACTTGGAATTGTAGAATATCGGAGCCCACCATTTCACAGCTGAAGGAAGACGAGCCCAGAGTGGGCGAACAACCAGCCCAGAGTAGCACAGCAAGCAGTTGGCAGAGCTGGACTGGAACTCAGGCCCAGTCTCCCGGGGTGGGGATACCCCTACTCCTGCACCGGAGCAACCCTGGGACTCCCAGCGCTGTCCCCTATGATGGCCCCCGAGACCCAGGCACCGGGGCGAGGACGTTGGGTCAATCTGCTGCTGGATCGATCAGTTTTCGGGGTGATTTACAGTCTTTGCCCGTTATTTACCATCTAGTCTCCATCTCTGCAGCAGCGAGTTAGCCGAATGTAAAATCACAGTGATTACTGCCCTCTTGTCAGTATTCATTGTTTCAGGTTTATCAGTTACTACTGGTGATCATCACAGAGAGGCTAGCGAGAGGGAGCCCAGTGTCATCCTGGCCAAATCGCTGGTCATGGTGCCTGAAGTTCTCCCTCTCAAAGCCTTGCTCCAAACCGGCCTTCTCCAGAAACCCCTTCCTTGAGTGGCCCCTAGAAGAGTTCAGATGCTCCACTTCCTCTTTTGCTCATCCAAGCTCCGCTGTGGCAGGGGCATTTGGAAAGCATCTGGGGTCTTCTGCAGATGTTTTGGCAGCCTTGGAGACATCGTGCCCTGTGCCCAGCCCTGGCCAGCTGCTCTGGAGGCACCACATGACCACGGTGTCTCGGTCCAGGGCTCGAGGTCTGCCCAGGGTTCCCAGCCAGAGGGAACCCAGAGGGATCCTCAGACTGCAGCTCCTTCCCAGGTTGGCTGCAGCCCCCAGGCCAGGCTGCAGGGGAAGAGCCGGCCATCAGTGCTTTTCTCCATAACAGGACAGAAAGCCGCTGCGGAGCAAAGGTGCCTCCAGGGACAGACAGGGAAAAGCTTGCGGGAGACAGCCACCCTCACTGGCCCCTCCTGTGGCGGGAACAAGCTCCACAGGCCTGCTAAGATCACCAGACCCTGACTCGAGCTGTGAGCCAGTTCATTGCCTACTGCCCACAGCTCACCGCAGCCAAGCCCAGCCTGGCCGTGACCCCTAACGCTACCCACACCAGCTTCACATCCTGACGTTTTCTGACCCCTCTCCCAAAAACCTCCTTGCTTCCCTCTGGCCTCTGAAACAGAGAACCTCCTTGCTTCTCTCTGGCCTCTGAAACAGGGTACCTCCTTGCTTCCCTCTGGCCTCTGAAACAGGAGACCTCCTTGCTTCCCTCTGGCCTCTGACACCCCCCTGTGCTTGGGTCCTTCCACCCGAGTGAGGGGCAGTACGGTATTGTGGTCAGTAGGCCAGGCTCCAAAGCCACACACCTGGCCTCCACCCCTCCCAGGCCATGTGGTGTGACTGCAGACAAGTCATTTAACCTCCCTGTGCCTCTATTTTCTCATCTGTAAAATGGGGGTGATGGCAAGAAAAGTAGTAGCCACTTCAGAGGGTCGTTGTAAATATTAAATGAGCTACTTCTGTAAACAGTTATAGAAAACGAAAACTACTCTGTAACATCAGAAAGCAGGTCAGTGGTTGCCTGAGGACAAAAGGAAGGGTCCGGATGGAGAAATTACCAAGGGTTCCGAGGAAACGTTGAGGGGCAATGGGTTTGTTCGTTATCTTATTTGTAGTGATGATTTCGTGGGTACATACATGTATCAAAACATAGCACATTGTACACTTTGGCTTTAAATATATCTCAACAGCACTGTTTATTTATTTATTTATTTTGAGATGGAGTCTTGCTCTGTTGCCTAGACTGGAGTGCAATGGCGCGATCTCTGCTCATTGCAACCTCCACCCGCTGGGTTCAAGTGATTCTCCTGCCTCAGCCTCCCGAGCAGCTGGGACTACAGGCGTCTGCCACCACGCCCAGCTAATTTTTGTATTTTTAGTAGAGACGCCATGTTGACCAGGCTGGTCTCGAACTCCTCCTGATCTCAAATGATCCACCCACCTCAGACTCCCAAAGTGCTAGGCCAACAGCACTGTTTAAATTATCGTGTGAGGTAATATGCGGAAGTCACTCAGTAGGCATCAGGCACACAGTGAGAGCTACATCAATATTAAATGCTGGTGTTACTCTCTCATGTCCCCTGCCACCAACCCCCACCCCTGCTCTCTTCATCATTAGCCCCTCAGGGTTTCAAAAGCTCATATGGGCTCAAGGCAGCCCACTCCGTGTCTTGCTAACCGTGTGTGTACATGTTATCAAAATCTGGAAACTGCCGAAATTATACCCCTGATGGCAGGAACTCAGCTAGAATCTCAACATATGTCCCCACAGCTGCTTCTTCAGGAGCAACTGCTGAATAGCCACTGTCCCATCCCTGCCCCTCTTACCCCCCAGGACCAACCTCACCACAACTGCCCACATCTAGGAACTACAGGGTTAAAGGCGGGCACAGCTTGGCAGGGGTGGCCTCTGGGGTCCTGTTCCAGCTCAGTTCTCATAGTTGGTGCTGAGTGCTAATTTTTTGTTTGTTTGTTTGTTTGTTGGAGAGGCGAGGGCTCCCTATGTTGCCCAGGCTTGTCTTGGACTCCTGGCCTCAAGCAATCCTCTCACCTCAGCCTCCCAAAGCGCTGGCATTATGGGTTTGAGCCACTGTGCCCAGACCTAAATATTTTAAATATCATCCTGTCTTAGGCCACCTTTGCCCATGACCCAGCTACATTGATGGGGCAACCATGGCAGCATCATGTCAGGACCTTCTCCAAGTCCAGACACCCGGCAATGTGGCTTTCCCTGAGCCCAGCCACAGCAGGGAATACTCAGCCCCAGAGGACATTAGAGTCTCTCAGGGACTACCCTGGCCAAGGACCTTCCAGGAACACAATCCCTCCCACTCCTGTCACCCCTACCTCCCCCCGGAGCCATGGTGGGCTCAGGGGAGGCTTCTGGTCTGGGGGTTGGAGGATGTGCACTAAGTGAGTCATGTCACAGCTGGACATAAAATTACAATTTGGTTTTCTTGACTTTTCTTAAACATTTTCTCCCTCTTAAACTCCTCTAAGTTCTGAGACAGAATTATTGAACTCAACTGGGGTTGGGTGACAAGGAGGGTCTGGCCCCTGACTCCCTGTCAAAGGCTGTGCCCAGGGCCAGGCTAGGTCAGAGGACCTGTGGGATGAAGGGGCAGGACGGTGGCTCACAGCGCAGCGGGGTGGGCGAGGCCAGCAAGGTCTGCTACACTCTGTGTAGGAAGTGACCTTGTCAGGGCTGACCAGTGGGGAACAATACTGAGAAAGGCGGAGCCAGGAAGCCACCCGGTCACCTCAGGAACCCTGAGGTGGACGCAGAGGCCAAGGTCAGACTCCAGGTCTGCAGGAGCACCCCCGAACCTGGTCATGAACGGGTGTGAGCCTGTGTGTGAGAGAAAGAGAAAACAAATGTGCACACGACAGGGAATTTGGTGTGTGAGACAAGAGAGTGCTCGTGTTTTTGAGAGTGTGCGTCTAAGAAAAAAAAAATTGTAAGGATTTTGTGTGTGGGGTAGAATATGTACACGGAGAGACCTTTCTGATTCTGAGAGGATGTTCTTGTAGGTGGACTTGCTGATTCCGAAACTAAACAAGAATCTCCTCATCCTCAGGCCGGGGGCACCCAGGGCAGCCTGAGCAGGGAGAAGTTGCCCCGGCAGCCTCCTGTCTCCTTTCGAGGGACTGGTGGCGCCTTCCTGCCCCCTCCAACATGGACTCAGGGTCTTCGCTTCAAAGTGCTGAGCCGGGGCCTGGGAATTCCCACACACCCACCCCCGCCACCCCTGCCTCACCTGGCGGTTGCCTCAGAACCAGAAGCCACACAAATATGCCGCCGAGCCGGTGGGGCGGCTTTCCTGTCAGCGGCTGCCCTGAGAGGGCCAGATCTCCATTATTCATGGTCCTTCGGTGAGTGACACCCACCCCCTAACCTTGAGGGATTTTCGAGAATGCTGGCTGGAGGGCTCTGGGTACCCTGCTCAGGCTGGAAAAGGCTTCCCCTTCACACACTGGCTGGTTTCTCCAGTCGGCCCCCAACAAGCTGTGGGTGGCTTCAGGAAGCCCCTCCCTGGCCAGGCGAGGTAATGTTGGGAGACCGACAAGGCAACCAAACCCTATGCCCAAGATTCTTGACCTTTTGGGGAGGTCCCAGACCTCTCTGAGAGTCTGAGAAATTGAATAGATCCTTTCTCTAGAAAAATTCTCTACAAATTTTTACTGTAATGTCAGAAGCTTTTGAGTCCATTCCTCAGTTCCATATGGGTCCTCAGACCTTGGTTAAGGGCAATGGAACCCCCAACACCAAAGCGCTGAAATTGCCAAAATTATAGCCCTGGCAGCAGGAAACTCCACTAGAATCTCAACACATAGAAGATACTGGGAACATTCTGGTGAATGAACGTGTTCCCCACCAGCTGTGATGTGAGTGGTGAGCAGGCAGGACTCCCTGGAGTCTGGCCTCCACCACAAACAACTTTGGGACTTGAAGCTTTATTTATTCACTCAATGCTTCTTTTTGGTTTTGATTTTGGTTGGGTTGTTTTTGTTTTTGTGTTTTGTTTTTCTGGGATGGGAATCTCACGATGTTGCCCAGGCTGGAGTGCAGTGGCTATTCACAGATGTGACCACAGCACACTACAGCCTCGAACTCCTGGGCTTCAGCCATCCTCCCGGCTTAGCCTCCTGAGTGGCTGGGATTACAGGCTGCACTACCACACCTGGCTTCAGTGGTTGTTACTGCCTACAGACTTTGTGCCAGGCATGGCCATATGATGAGGATATAAAATAGATGTATAGACACATTTTCTGCCTTCATGTTGCTTATAGTCTAGGGTGAACGAGAAAATTAATTGAACACCTAAGTACATATGTAATTCTATGAAGTGGCCAGGGATTATGACTAAACCCCTAGGGCTTCAGTTTCCTCATCTATAAAATGAAGATAACTATAGTTACTTGCTAGTCTTTCTATGAGGATGAAATGAGACCACTTATGTTAAGCACTGAGCGTGGAGCCTGCACAAGAGGGAGCTACAGAAGGCATGGCGTGTGAGTGAGGCTGGTCAGCAGACAGAAGTGAGCCTGGCCACTCTGTGATGGCAGAGCCTTGGCAAAAACCAGGCCACTACCATCTTGACCAGCCTGGATGCTGGGGCTGGAAGGGTAGCCATTTTAGAGGCAGCCTCCAGGCCATGAACATCACTAGGCAGCAGCCAAGCCCTGTATGAATGGGGAGCAAGTGGTCAGAGTAGGAGGAGGCCAAAGCTGACCCTTTGAATGGCCAAGTTGAAGCAGGGGACTGGAATGACTTCTCAGCAGGGGTGGGTTTTAAGATCTGTGCCAATTTCTACTTCTGGCTACAGTAGACTAGCTTATATATCACACCAACTTTGCCACCAACCGAAAAAAGAGATAAAATACATTTTTAAAATTTGAATCTAGAAAGATGAGCTTAACATTTGGCCCTACTTTTCCCCTAAGCAGTAGCATGAAGTTCAGAATGTGAGCAGGAAGTGGAGACTGAGGTTTTTGCAACCTCCTGGAGTTAGAGAAAGAGGAAAGGGGAGAACTCAAGCATCTCCAAGTGGAGAGATGGCTTGTTTAGAAAAAAAAAAAACTGTCAGTTAGGACCCTTGAAGCACAAATCAGAAATAGGTCAGCCCTCACAAAGGTTGAAGTGCAGCTTCAAACAAACTTAATCCCACATGGGATTAAAGTGCGCTGCCTCTACTCTATCTCCCTTCCAGAGTCAAGAGTAAATCCTCTCTGGATTATTCAGAGCCTCAAATTATCTCTACAATCCTTCCATATACCATGTCTGGAAGTCAATAACATTTACCAGGCATGACAGGAGATAAGATCATATGACTGAAACTAAGAGGTGGAAAAAAAACACAGCTAATAGGAATAAACCTGAAGGAGATCCAGATATTATTATTTAAAATAGCAGACTTTAAAATAATTGTGATTGATATGTTCAAAAAAATTGGAGAGATAAATAATTTAAGGAGAACTGGAAACTCCTAAAGGTTATCAAATGGAAGTTCTAGGCAAATACAAAATACTACAAAAAATAATCATCATCATAATTAACAAGCAATGAATGGGTTTAACAGCAGATTAGATGTCACTAATAGAAGATTAGTGAACTGGAAAACAGGTCAGTATAAAATATTGAGCAATGAAGCACAATGAGAAAATCTGATAAAAAATAAAATCAGGGGCCAGGCACGGTGGCTCACACGTGTGGTCCCAATAGTTTGGGAGGCCGAGGCGGGTGGATCACCTGAGGTCAGGAGTTCGAGACCAGCCTGGCCAACATAGTGAAACCCCATCTCTACTAAAAATACAAAAATTAGCCAGGTGTGGAGGCAGGTGCCTGTAATCCCAACTACTCAGCAGGCTGAGGCAGGAGAATCACTTGAACCTGGGAGGTGGAGGTTACAGTGAGCCAAGATCGTGCCATTGCACTCCAGCCTAGGTGACACAGCAAAATTCTGTGTTAATAAATAAATAAATTAATTAATTAATTAAATCCGGGCACAAAAAGAGAATAACATTTTTAAATCCCTTAATTTACCCCCATAAAACACGGTATAAATGGTTTTGTATGGGGTGGGTGCGATGGCTTACACCTGTAATCCCAGCATTTTGGGAGGCTGAGGCAGGCTGATCACTTGAGCCCAGGGGTTCAAGACTAGTCTGGGCTCACTTGTCTCTACAAAAAACATAAAAATTAGCCAAGCATGGTGGTGTATGCCTGTAGTCCAGCTACTTGGAAGGCTAAGGTGGAAGGATCACCTAAGCCTAGGAGGTCAAGGCTGCAGTGAGCATGACTGTGCCACTGCACTCTAGCCTGGGCAACAGAGTAAGACCCTATCCAAAAATAAAATAAAGTAAAGTAAAAGGTTTCATATGTACAATATAGTATAGTGTTTGTATGTGAGCATAATATGGGATAATGGACAGTATGTAATAAAGACTACATATGCAAATTTACTTATGGCATTATTACATTAAAAATAAGGAGCTGGAAGTTTCATGCATTAAATGTAAATTTGATGAGACTCCATGGTGTATGAGACTCAGGGAGAGAATGGGCTTTGGAGGCCACTGCCCTGATCTGAAACGTGAGTAGGAGCCTCTGAGTAGTGGATTCTTCCTCATGCTCCTTGATCCACGGCACATGGGTGATCTCCCATTCCCCGCTGTGGCTCTCACCCCACTGACTGCTATGATCAGGCCCTGGCCTTCTTTCCATTCCTTAACCTGCTAATCTCTTTCCTGCTTCAAGGCCTTTTTACACACTGTTCCATGTGCCTGGATGCACTTGTCCATGCCCTTCTCACACCTACTTCTGCTCAGCCCTCAGGTCTCAGTTTATGTATCGCACCCTGTGTTTAGTGTATCCCCCCTTCACAGCAATGACTACATTAAGCAGTAATTTTATTTGTTTGTTTCCTTATCTCTCTTCTATGAATTGCCTCTGCTACTTAAAACAGCTCCTATAGAGCCCCGAATATTATCATCACCATTAGTTTGAGACTAGAAGTGCCAACACTCAGTCATTCACTCGCAAAATGCTTGTTGAGCATGTACTCTGTGCCAGGCGAGGTGAAGACACTGGGGCTACAGGAGGAACAAAACAGACAAACATTCTACTCTCATAGATCTGGAAGAGACAGACATAAACAAACATTAGACTTGTCAGGGGGTGCTGAGTGCAGCTAGGCAACTGCAAAAAGGATGTAGAGGATGAAAAAGAAGGAGAGGCCAGGTGTGGTGGCTCACGCCTGTAATCCCAGCACTCTGGGAGGCCAAGGTGGGTGGATCACCTGAAGTCAGGAGTTCGAGACCAGCCTGGCCAACATGGTGAAACCCCATATCTACTAAAAATGCAAAAAACTAGCCAGGTGTGGTGGCGGGCGCCTATAGTCCCAGCTACTCAGGAGGCCGATACAGGAGAATCGCTTGAACCCAGGAGGCGGAGGTTGCAAGTGAGCCGAGATCATGCCACTGCACTCCAGCCTGGGTGACAGAGCAAAACTCCATCTCAAAAAAAAAAAAAAAAAAAAAGGAGAGGTGCCACTTTATATGGAAGAGCCATCAAGACCTTGCCTATAAGGGGGCATTTAAGCAAAATGTTGATGGAAAGGATAATCCTAGCCATGAGGATTTCTGAGGGAGGAGCCTTCTGGAGCTTCAGAAGGGGATTTGTTATGCTTGGAAAAGTAGGAGATTGTGTTTGTGTTGATTTGGTTTCCAAAACAAATTGTCTCTTGTGATTTAATAATATAAATCAAAAGCCTTAAAATATGTGTACTCTTTGACCTACAAGTCCACTTAGGAATTCAGCCACAGGGAAAACAATGTACACATATATTTATGTATAAGGATATTGACTAAATAGGGAAGATAAAAAATATGGAAAGAATACAGATGTCCAACATTAAGGAAGTGGTTAAGTAAATTAAGATCATCCATACAATGGAACACTGTGCAATTATTAAAAAGATTTAGAAGAATATCTGAAGATGTAGGAAAATGTTCATCACCAATTGTTAGATAGTGATCTGTATCTATCCAAGTATCATTTCGAGAAGAAAAAATATATGTGTAGGAAACTTCAAATGCATACACATCAAAAGTTGACAGCAGTTATTAACAAGTGATAGAATTATGGTTAATTTCTGCCTTTTCTTTCTTTATGCTTTTCCATTGTCAGAAGTTTTTGTATTGAGTGCATACCTTGTTAACGTTGTAATTTTAAAATATTACTTAGTAAAGCTAACTGTCCCTAATATATATTCATTTATGCACGAAGAGGTATGTATTGAGTGCCTATTTGGTGCCAGGTGCCAGGATAATAATTTTCTAGTGATAATGAACAAGTAAATAAACCCACTAAGCCACTCTCATCCTTTGATAAGTGCCAGGAATGGGCCTGGGGGAAGGGGTGAAGGTCTGCAGGCTTCCACTTGGATGGTGGAAAGACAGAGGCTCCAGGGAGTTGTGAGGGTATTCTGGAGGCCAGAGAAGGAAGCTGTGCTTCCCTTTCCTGGGTGAAGTCAGAGGCCTGGCCAACAGTGAGTGGCAGGGGGTGAGAGGTTTCAGGAAAGTGTGAAGCCTTGAGGGACAGCAGATCCCTGCCACGCACACCAGCCTTGCCAGGCAGCAAGGACCCCACTTCGAGGTTGTGATCATGCACAGAAGGGGACCCGATCAGCCCGGCCACAGGGGTTTCTCCAGCAAAGTTCAGCTCTTGGGGGAAATAGCTGAGTTCAACTAAGGTTGAGATTCCCCAAATAGACACAGGAGAAGGAGGAAAGAGGAGCCAAAAATGGTGAGGCTGGAAAACTGTCACGACTGAAAGTCAATGTCTAGAGTTAGAGACCTGGGAAGGAAGGAGGGGTGGTCAGAGAAAGAGAAGCTTGACATCAGGGTTCAGAGGTGGTGCAGTTTCTGGTGGTGATGAGGGTACGGTATGACCCTGGGACTGTGTGACAGGATGAGGTGGCCAGAAGTGAGGTCGCCAAGGGACTGAGACATGGACAGTAGTCCCCTATGTGGAAAGTCCCAAGATGCTAGTGACAGAGCCAGCCTCCCAAGAGATGGAGGAGAGTGGCCAGGAAGTTAGGAAGTAACAGCAAGGAGGGGACAGAGAGAGTGTGTGGCCTGGGGCAGGGTGGTGGGTGAGCTTCGGAAAGAGCTGGGGGTTCCAAAAAAAGAGGGAGGAGAGATGCTGGAAGTACCAGTGGGAGCAGAAATGGCACCCAACCACGTGTTGGTTCTGAGATAGATGCAGAGTAGAGAAAACCAACCTCCACTGGGAAGGTTTCAGGGAAAGCACTGTCCTCGAGGGAGCGCCTCGGGTGAACACCCAGCACCATGGAGGCGAGCCACAGGGCCTTGGGGGCCACCGAGACCAAAGAAGAACTTAAGTTCTGCAACAGACTCAGAGAGATCCGCCCCAGGGCACAGCACCCAGGCCTCCTGCCTTCCAGTAGGGGCTCTCAGCCCTGCCTCCCAGGAGGAGAAGAGGCATGGCGGAGCGGGGGGGCCTTCTGCCTGACTCCAGAGGCACTGCTGGACCCCACAGAGGCTGAGCATGGCCTCCTGACTCACTGGCCCTAGATGACAGAACATTCCCTTTCCCAAACATTCCATTGTGTTTTAATGCAGTGCTGGACTTGTTAAAAGAGTAAATTTAGCTTTTATGGGAAGAGGCAGCCGGGCTTGGTCAGGGAGGCTAAGGCGGGCCAGGGGTGCCATGGCAACCCCCAGCCTCCCAAGATGGGCCTGAGAAGACGCCTCCTGGCCCCGGCACCTCCCCACTTTCCTTACCTGCCACCACCTTCCCTTGCCACCTCTCATCGTCCCTGTGAGAGGTGAAGGCAGGATGGGGTGAGGGAGAGGGGCTGGCAGGGAGAACAGGAACCCCAGGTCCCACCAGCAGTGAGACTGCATGAGGACAGCCCACTGCTCCTCCCTGGGCCTCATCTGTGAAGCGGGTAAAATTCAGGGAAGAATACTTTGCTCAGAGGGTGTTGTGAGGCCTTCAAGAAATGCTCACCCCCTTCACATACCCTAAAGGGCAGACCAGACAAAAGCAGGGCTGAGACTCCCAACAGAGCAGGGAGAAGAGGACCCGATGAAGTCCCAGGCCCCGGGCAGCCGCGGGGGAGCGTGGGTAGGTAGGATGCTCTTTTGTCCATGGTGAGTGTCCTCCTGACTCCAGCACTCCTTGGTTTGCTCAGTCCTGATTCTAGGGCCAGTCAGGGCTCAGCATGAGGGGCCCAAGAGTCCTAGGATTCCAGAGCCTCAGAGGGAGCTCAGAGGAGTGTTACGTGTTAGCCAGGGTGCCCAGATGCCCCCACAAGATGGGATCATGCATGCAAGGATTTTGTTAGGGGAAACTAGGTAAAAGAATATGGGGAAGGAGATGGCAAAGTCTGGGTGAGCCCTTACAGCTGGGGGCACATGGGGCCTGAAAGTTAAAGACTGGGCCAGGCACGGTGGCTCACACCTGTAATCTCAGAACTTTGGGAGGCTGAGGTGGGCAGATCACTTGAGGTCAGGAGTTTGAGACCGGCCTGGCCAACATGGTGAAACCTCATCTCTACTAAAATACAAAAAATTAGCAGGTGTGGTGGCACGCGCCTGTAATCCCAGCTGCTCCAGAGGCTGAGGCAGGAGAATTGGTTGAACCCAGGAGGTGGAGGAGGCAGTGAGTCGAGACTGTGCCACTGCACTCCAGCCAGGGTAACAGAGCAAGACTCTGTCTCAAAAAAAAAAAAAGAAAGAAAGAAAGAAAGAAAGAAAGAAGAAAAGAAAGAAAGTGAAAGACCAAGGAGGAAAGGCCAGGTGAAAGTATCCTAGACCGCTGAGATCTAAGGAAGGTGGGCAAGTCCACCTAGAGTCATTGAGCCAAAGCCAGCCCCTGGGAGTCTGGTGTTTTCCAGCAACCAGCCTGCCTCAGTGTCCCTGCCAGGCTGAACAGCAGCCTGTGGGCTGGGATCAGCCTGCAGGACACACAGCCAGGGGGCCCCTCAATCAGTTCTGTTCCCGTGCTTAGTCAGAAGATGCCCATCCAACATCTCCTCCTTTTCCTGCAGGGCCACAGGCAGCAAGATCAGCCTCTCTGTGCCTCCCTTTCCTTGGCAACAAGGCACCCACCTCAGAGGGAAGGAGTGAGGAGTCTGTCACTACTAGCGGAGAGCAACTCACAGGGCCTAGTTAGTAGGTTTGCACGTGGGGGGTCCCCCTTACTCCTGAGGTTGACACACACAGGAGTTCTCAACTAGGGAAAGAAACGAGCCCCTGCATCTGCTGCTGCTGGCAGGGGGACACACAGACCTCTCCCCTTCTCCCATCTCTTCTCCTCCTTTCTTACTACCCCTCTTCACCATTTCCTATCAGAGCATCTCCCAGACTGGCAGCCACCTCCTCTGGGAAGCCTTCCTGGCCTTCAGCCACACAGCCCTCTCCCTCCTTGGAATCCCACCACCCAGGAAGGTACCTCAGTGGTTTCAATGCCTCATCCCTGCTCAGCGTTGAGCTCCTGAGAGGCCTGTCCTGCCTTCTACCTCCCTGAGCACTGGCAGAGCACACAGAAGTCCCTGGATTGATGGGCAAGTCCTCGGAATGCCAAGCCAGCCATTGGGCACAGCCTGCTGCGGTGGGGGCAGGGAGAGATTATTTATAGGCCCTGATTCTATTAATTAAGTTCATTGCCTGCCTCGTCTGCTTCCTGAGCCTGTGTAAGTGTTCCAGTCTGCCCTTTGTACGCACATGACCTCAGAGCAGGTGAGCAGGACTGGAAGGTGAACTGAGGGCCAGGCGCTTAACCCAACTAGCGGCATCTCCAGGCCGCGACATCAGGCGTAGGGACTCGACTCTCCCACCTGAGGTCATGAGGCCTGGGGAGACAGGCCCCACCTCTCTAAAACATCTGCCCTTGCCGGAATGAGATGAGGGTTAGGCTGCTGGACAGTGGGCCCTACTTTCAGGATGAGGTGAGAACCCCACCTCTCCCATCCTCTTCCTGTGGGAATAGGGCCAGGGCACACGCATGGTGCTCCTGGAGCAGAGGGCCCCAGGGGAGCCCTTCCTCCCCCACAAGGAGCCGCAGGCCTGGGCTACAGGGACAGCACCTCATGCTTTGTAGTTCCTTTTCACATCTGTCACCATGCAGGCCCTGAGACACTCCTGGGAGAAGGAGACAATACTATTGTTCCCACAGTGCAGAAAAGGAAGCCGGAGCGCAGAGAGGGGAAGTGTTTAATCCAAAGGCACAGTTACTAGGAGATTTGCACCAAGCTTGGAATCCTAGGCTCCTTCTGCTGCCCGCCACCTGCCGGGAGAGGCAGGACGGGGCTGCTCGCCGGCACCCCTTTCCCTCCCGGCAGCCCCGCACGCACGGCTTTCCTCTGGGCCTGTTTCCTCAGGTGTGAAATGCTGGTGGCAGCACCTACCTTACAGGCATGCTGTGAGGCTGGCACAGAGGGGGCTGTCATAGAGAGGGACATCCGCACCTTCCCAGTAAGAAGACCTCTCTCCGCCCCCCTTCTCCTGAGAAGCTCTGTCCTCCCCTCAGCCTGTCCAGCCCCCCAGCAAGGGGTCAAGTCCTGGGCTGCAGGGTGGAAGTAGAGCTGTTCTTCCAGCAACCCCATCACCCAGCTAGGAACCCCCAGCACACACACAGGCGTGTTTGAGCACACTAGCTGCATTCAGGGCTGCTGAACAGGTGTGGCCCACAATTGAACGTGTGCTGAGCCCTTTGTTCCATGTTCTGGGGAGAATCAGGTTCACAACTGTCTTAGCCCCTTGTGTGCTGCTGTCACAGAACACCTGGGAGTAGGGGATTTATAAGGAACAGAAACGTGTCCTCACAGTTCTGGAGACTGGGAAGTCCAAGATCAAGGTGCTGGCGGGTTAGGGCCTGGTTTCTCTGCTCCCAAGACGGTGCCTTGAACACTGCATCATCTGGAGGGGAGGAATGCCGTGTCCTCACATGGCAGAAGAGCAGAAGAGAGGGGGAGCCCACTCCCACAAGCCCTTTTTATAGCGGCATTAATAACACATGAGTTTTGGAGGCGGCAAAAACATTCAAACCATGGCAACAACCAACCCATTGACCTGCTGTGCCCTCAAGCAGGGCCTCTGCTCCACTCCCAAGGCCCCCAGCATCCCTGCCATGCCCCCTCACCTTTCCCCACAACCTGGGTTCTCTGACCTAGCCAGGTACAAATGGCTTGGTCTTTTCCCAAGGCCACAGCCGTCGGATAAATGCACCTCTATGGAAACAGAAGTATGTTTTTCAGGGAGGCCTGACCTGAAGACAAACTAAGTCTTTTCCTCCTTTCTTCTCCAGGGAGAGTCTGCCTCTCCCTGCCTGTGTGACCTTGGGCAAATCACTTCCCCTCTCTGGGCACAAGGAGTGCTGTCCACAAGCTCCCTGCCCCTGTAAAGAAAAGCTGGGGGCTTGGTTTGGGAGTCCTGGAGGGGGTTGGGAGGGCCTTTCCAGGTCTCTGAAAGCCAATTTCTTCCTTCTGTCAAGGGAGGGGGTGTGAGCCCTCTCCAAGGCCCTAGGGGCCCCTGCATTCCAAGCCATCTCAGCCCTAAGATCCGTGTGGACCAGAGGCAGTGGGAGAGGGGAGGATGGGCGGCCTGGCCTGAGAACTGCATGGCTTGCCAGCTCCCTCCTGCTTTAGCAGGGCCGGCCTCCCGGGGGAGGGGCTGCCATCTGACCCGCTGGCTCTCTCCAGCTGGCGGGAGGCGTCTCGGGCGTTGGTTCCCAGGCAAGGTCAGCAGGGCCCATCCATCACCGTGGCCTCCCTGCTCCCCATCAACCCACCTGCCGCGCACTCTGCACCCTGCTCCTGCTGCCTTCCTGGGGCCCGACCTCCCCAACTCCATCCGAGCCTCCCCACATGAGGCCCAGCCTGGGAACAGTCCCAGAGGGCCCCCCGAACTGTGACATCTACAGGTTGGGTCACCCCTCGTGCCTATTTCCTGGACCACCTGGACCACTGCCACCCACTCCACCCAGAGAATGTGGGCCTCAAACAGCCACAGTGGTTTGGCTCTCCTGGACCCTCCTTGGCTCTCCCTGTAGTAACAAAGTCCCCAAAGAGGACTTTGTTTGCCTCAAAGCATCCACCCAGCCTGGCTGGGTCCTTCTGCCATGCACTGAGCTGCTCCAGCGGCATTAACATAGAATCAATGAAGCCCAATTACGCCTGGTTTCAGCGCAGCCGCCCCTCCTGCTTGCCCCTTTTTCCTGGCCACTTCTTATTCCTGCAGGGTCTCAGGCACCCTAACTGCCGGCCTCCCCCTCTCTGCCCTGCCAGCAGCTCCAGATCCCAGAAAGCCCTGCTGGGGCCCTGCTGTGTCTCAGTTTCCCCAGTGTCTGCCACTCATTGCTTGTTGAATGAATGTGTGAGTGAGTGCATGAATAAGTAAACCAATGAAGGGGGACATTTGCATCTCAACAGTTTTGGCACAAGGCCTAGGCCCTAATAGAAAGAGACTGCAGTAAGCCTCAAGTCAAAGTAATGAAACACCAGGGAACTGAGTGGACCAGGACTGGCAGGGCACTGAGACATTTGTGGGGCGTGGGGTGGTGAACAGTGGCCTTGGGTCTGGGTGGGGGGCACGCCACAGGGTTGAGACACTTAGTTTCCAGACCCAAAACTACTTGTAGTTAGGCATCGGGTATGTGCCGCAGAAGTTCCGAGTCTGCGTAGAATGTAGCCTTGGGAACCATCGGGGCAGCGTGCCTCTCCTCACAGGGGGCTAGGAACCATGTTTTCATTTTTTCCCACCAGTAACCCTGTAAGGCAGACCTGCCTATCTCCATTTTACAAATGAAAGAATTGAGGCTCAGAAAAGTTACTCTACCCAGGAGCACTCGGTGAGAATGTGGTTGAGTCAGGATTTGAACCCCAGGTCTCACCTCACTCCAAAGCCATTCCTCTTTCTCCTGAGCCTCATTGCCTTCTGCCTCAAATACAGTCCTCCTACTTCTGGCTTCTCCCAGTGACCCTGAGGGCAGTGAGAAGTGGCTGAATGTGGCCACCGAGTCTGTGGTCACCCTCCAGAGGAGATCTGAAAGGGCCAAGCTCTCTGACCAGCCCCCTGAAGCTGTCTCTACCTTGGCCAGCCCAGGGCCCTGTGACCTTCCCAGTCAGATGCATAGAAGATCCCCAGCTGGCAGTCAGGAGGCCCAGGTCCTCATCTCAGCTTGGCTGCCTGCTAGCTCTGAGCCCTTCCAGCTCTGCTGTCTCTTGAAACCATGACAACACATTTGCAGGTACAGACAGAAGACAGACAGACAAGGCCAGGCGTAGTGGCTCATGCCTGTAATCCCAGCACTTTGGGAGGCTGAGGTGGGCTGATCACTTGAGGTCAGGAGTTCAAGGCCAGCCTGGCCAATATGGTGAAACCCTATCTCTACTAAAAATATAAAAATTAGCTGGGCGTGGCGGCAGGTGCCTGTAATCCCAGCTACTTGGGAAGCTGAGGCAGGAAAATTGCTTGAACCTAGGAGGCAGAGGTTGCAGTGAGCCGAGATCACACCACTGCACTCCAGCCTGGGGGACAAGAGCAAACTATCTCAATAAAATAAAATAAAATAAAATAAAATAAAATAAAATAAAATAAAATAAAATAAAATAAAATAAAATAAAATAAAATAAAATAAGACAGACACACACACACACACATACACACTTTCCTTCTGGGCCAGTTAGGGTTGCCATTTTCTTAGCTACCCAAACTCAGCCCAATTATGTGGCAAAAAAAAGTGGTCTCTGGGCACCAAAGGACACCTTCCCAACCCAGAAGTCTCAGCCTGGCACACCCTCAGGTAGTGACCCCAGGTCACCATGAATTCTGGAAAGCTCATGTCTCTCAAGCCAATTCTAAACTTTTGAATTTCACCTCATTCCTTCATTCATTGACCATCTCCTGAGCATCTTCTATACCCAAGACTCCAGGCAGGGAGGCAGAGGACCTAAAGCCAGGACTCTGCCTTCCCAAGCTCCCCGCATGGGAGGAGGGGGCAGGAGGCCGGCAGTCTGGAGTCAGATCGCCTGGCTTCAAACCCCGGCTCTGTGAGACCTGGGGAGTCCACCTAACCTCACTGGGCTACAGCATCCTCATTTGCAGAGCTAACACTTACATTTTACTTCATTTCAATATAAATGGTTTTAAAATTTTTAATGAGATCATGAACATAAAGTATCTTCCCCCAGACCTAGCGTGTCATGAGTGGTCAATACAGGTTGGTCATCAGCAGGTGAACACGGCAGGGGAATGGGCCCCAGGGCGGCCACCCATCAGGGCCCAGCAGAGCAGGGACAGGGCTGGAAGGACCCTGGCACTGTGTCTATGAAGGGTGCTGAAGAAGGCCCCATCGTGGAGGGCAGGCTGGGACAATGACCACTCAGAAAGGCACAGCTGGGAGTGTCCTGCACCTGGGCCCTGACTCCCTCGTGCACACTCTGACGTTCAATCCCCGCTGGATCCACTGACTGAGGCTCTGGAGCTCCCTGGGGCTCTCTGAGGGCTGCTCTCCCATCAGGAACATGCATTGACCTCACCTCCTCCAGCCAGACTCTCACGGGTAAGAGAGGCACAAAGCCATGTGCACACACACAGGGCTGGGCGCCCGTGAGGAGGTGGGCCCTGATTTGGCAGGTGTGCATGAGGCCCCCTCCACACATGCATGCTGGTGCGGGTGCCAGCACGGCCACAGTGGAGGGTAAGAACACACTTCCAGGCGGCACTGCCAGCCCTCGCCGTGTTCCAGCTTGTTGACACCGTGATGGCATAATTACAGTTTCAATCGCAGATTAATAATAAGTCATTTTTGCAAACGAGGAGGCAGGTCTGCACTGGAAAGGGCCCCAAAGGGCCTGTCGCCTCTGCTATCTGAGGCTGCTGGCCGCCGTTTGATGTTTTCTGCCGAGTAGAGACTTTTCTAAGGACTATCATAATAACAACAACCACCCAGGTAATAATATCCTTTCATATCCCTGCCTGCCCCTTTCCTATCCATGGCCTTCTGATGGATGGAGGTGATGATGGAGTTTGCTTCAGAGATGGTATCTGGCGTGTGTGTATGTGTGTGTGTGTGTAAGAGGTGCCTGTGTTAAGATCTAAGTGCAAATGCTCAGTCACGCTGATGTGTGTCTGAGATGTCTGGGTGTGAGCATTGTGTATGTTTGGAAGTATGTGTGTGTTTCCACGTGTCTTTAGCAGTGCCAGGAGGGTCCCATCCCCGACAGAGACCGAAGCCCCTCGCCTCTCCCTTCTTCACCCTTAGGGGGACTGTGCTGGAAGATGGGGGTGGGGGACAGAGGTGCTCCCAAAGAGAGCTTTGGGGTGCAGCAGGGATCCTGGCAGGGACCAGGACAGCCCGGCTCCCTCTGGGGCTCCCAGGTAGGGCTGAGAACCTGCCCTCATGGCTCTGTTCCGAGAGGGGTTGGCGAGGAGCTAATAATAACAACAGTGACAATAACAACCACGTCCGTGTGTTCTGAGCTTTCTTTTCTTCTATTCTCTTTTATCTTTGTGATCTCTTTTGATCCCCAGTACCTCCCTGAAGGGAGGGCGGGCAGGCCTCTTGACTCCCACTGGCCCCAGTGGAAACCGGGGCTCAAGAGGAGGGGACCTGCTCAAGGGGACGCACAGTGGGTGAGAGACGTCTCCTTGGTCAGATCCCAGACGCCCTGTGTGCTGGCCTGGAGTTCTAGCCCTCCTCCAGCCTCCTACAGGGCTCCACCTGACCCTTCACGCTCTCTATAGCTGCCTGGGCCCCAGGCCAAGGGGCAAGCAGGGTTCAAAAGACCAATTCATGTTTTCCAAATTCCCTTTGAAGCCGAAAGGATGCCTGCGCCCATGGGATTACAGTGTGGCTCTGCAGGCTGGACTCCGGAGAGCTGCACAACCTCGGGCCAGCCTCTCTAGGCCTGGCCCCGCACCCCTGCTTCAAGGCAGACCAGTCACGCTCATGCAGCTGGGACCTGGCTCCCTCATAGGACGGCGACTCAGTGAGCTCATTCCCCATGGCCAAGCCTGCTGCAGGTGGTTTTAACAGCCCTGTGGGTGTGGTCCCGCCCAGGCCGGCTGCCCGCCTGGCACCCTGGGCAAGAGCAAAGGGCCCCAGAGGAGGCGAGTGGCCAAGATGAAGGCCAGGAGAAGGTGCTCACACACACTTGGCCTCCTGCTGTCCAGCCCCGCCCCATCCCCGTTGAGCCCCTGGCTCTGTCTTGGGTCCCAGTTACCTTGCATCTGACAGTCAGGCCTGGTGTTTGCTTCACTAGCAAAGGGGCCGCCATGCTTTCCTCCTGTTGAGCTGCCTGACTGCCGCAGGCAGTTAAAGCAATTGGAGGCAGCGTCTAATTACGCCCAGGTGGAGGGCCCTGGGAGGCAGGTGGGAACCATCGCTGATAGAACAAATAGAACAGGCCCATTTCTCAGCTAGGGAGACTGAGGCGGAGCATCCCTCAGTGATGGAGGATGAGTCAGGACCAGTGCTTGCCCTGAGCAGCCCCTCTGCTTGGCCCCTGCCCTGGGGCTGGGAGGCGGGAGTAGGAACCCAAGCCCAAGCCCTGCTTAAAGGGCCCACCAGGCTGGGCGTGGTGGCTCACACCTGTAATCCCAGCTTTTTGGGAGACCGAGGCAGGCAAATCACCTGAGGTCAGGAGTTCAAGACCAGCCTGGCCAACATGGTAAAACTCCGTCACTACTAAAAATACAAAAATTAGCCAGGCATGGTGGCGCCCGCCTGTAATCCCAGCTACTCGGGGGGCTGAGACAGGAGATGTACTTGAACCTGGAAGACAGAGGTTGCAGTGAACCAAGATCATGCCATTGTACTCCAGCCTGGGCGACAGAGCAAGACTCCATCTCAAAAAAATAAAATAAAATAACAAATAAAGGGCCACCCCAGAGCCCCTTCCTGGGGAGGCCTGCAAGGCCTTGGCATTGTGTCTCTAAGCCAATACTCAAGGCCCTCCCCAAGCTGACCCCAATCTACCCCTCCAATCACACCACACTTCTTAGGGCCTTGGCCTGATCAGTTTCGCCTCCTCCCACCTCCTGCCAACCCCCAGCTCCCACCCTCGATGCCATTATTTCTCCTCCTCTCCATCTAGCTGAAGCTTGGCCAGCCATTAAATCACTGCTCAAATTCCGTCTTTTTATGATGCAACCAGCACTGCGTCTGGCACATAGCAGACTCTCAATGAGCAAGGCACGAATGAATGAGTGGCTGAGTGCCTGGCCAATTGGCCCTGGCTTTAGCTGGTCACTCTGTCCCCTGACCTTTTGAGAAGTAATGTAAAGTGTATAAGCTTTTCTTTGAGTCAAGATTAATACCCTGGAAGCCAGGGGTGGCTGGGTCTCCCCTTCCTTTGTGTCTTTGGGGGCCCCAGCACATCCTAGTGCACTGACTGTGAGCCCCAGTTCACATTGTGGTTAACAGACCCAATCATGGGGAGGGAGGAACTGGGCAAGCCAATGATGGAATTTTTTTTTTTTTTTTTAGACAGGGTCTAGCTCTGACACCCAGGCTGGAGTGCAGTGGCACAATCAGGGCTCACTGCTGCCTTGACCTTCTGGGGTCAAGCGACCACCCTGCCTCAGCCTCCCATGTAGCTAGGACCACAGGTGTGCACCACCATGCCCAGCTAATTTTTTTAATTTTTGTAGCGACAGGGTCTCACCATCTCTCCCAGGCTGGTCTTGAACTCTTGGACTCAAGTGATCCTCCCATCCCAGCCACCTGAATTGCTGAGATTACAGACATGAGCCACTGTGCTCACCCTCAAAAATGGAATTTTTCTTTTTTCTTTTTCTCTTTTTTTTTTGAGATGGAGTTTTGCTCTTATCGCCCAGGCTGGAGTGCAATGGCATGGTCTCGGCTCACTGCAACTTCCGCCTCCTGGGTTCGCCTGGCTAATTTTTGTATTTTTAGTAGAGACAGGGTTTCACCACATTGGCCAGGCTGGTCTCAAACTCCTGACCTCAGGTGATTTGCCCACCTCAGCCTCCCAAAGTGCCAGGATTACAGGAGTGAGCCACCGCACCTGGCCCCAGCGATGGAATTTTTAAAAACACAGTCTTTTCTCCTCTTCATCCCGGACCCTACTCTCTAGTAACCAAGAACATTAGACATGTTCTTCTGTCTTTGTCTCATGTTTTTGTTTTGTTTTTGCCTCTGTCACCTGCTTGTAACAATAACACTAAGAACTATTGAGTGTTTCCTCTGAATCAGGTACTGTTCTAAGTGCATTGAATATAGTAACTCAGTTAAGTACTACACAATCCCAGTAGTTCTCAATTCAGGCTCAATTTTGCCCCCAGGGGACACTTGGCAATGTCTGGAGACATTTTGGTTGTCACAACTGGGGACAGGGAGTTGCTACTGGGATCTAATGAGTAGAGTCCAGAGATGCTGCTTAACACTCTACAATGCATCAGACAGGCCCCATAACAAAGAATCATCAGCCCCAAATGTCAATAATGTCTAGGCTGAAAACCCCTGCGTTAAGCCTTAGAGTCTAAGGTAAGGTCATCATCCCATTTTACTGCTGAGAAAACTGAGGCCCAGGGAAGCAAAGTCACTTTCTCGAGGTCACACAGGCAGCAGGTTGTTGTAGCCCAAGAATTCTGGGCCACAGTCCATGCTCTGGCCACTCCACTCTTCAGCCTCACCTTGTAGCAGTCTTACCTCATCTTGTTGGCCAGGACCCCCCTCCTTGGGGGAGCTGTTGGCCTACCCACAGCTTCCAGGCAGAGGGAGGACTGTCTCCCTCAGGGCCTTGATGAGGATCCCTGAGTGCCTAGCTACACTGCTTGACCTCGAGGACCCAGACGTCCTGCCCCGAACCTACCACAGCCCGGCTTCCCACGCTCACCTCCCTTCTCTGACCTGGGTCACACCCCATGTGTGGTGCCGGGCCCTGTATGGAGAACAGAAAAGGGCCAGAACAAGGGCCACACCTCCTCCTGTGTCCCCACCCCTCCAGACCCAGGGTGCTGAACACACAGTTGAGCCTTAGTCAGCCCTCTGTGGTTTGGCCTATGACATGAGGGCAGTGGGCGTGGTGTTTTTGGTGTAGACAAAGATGGAGGTGGCTTGTGGACAGATGTGAGGCTTGGGGCCATCAGACTGCCCCCAGGCGCCACAGGGCCTGGGCTAGAGAGGAAGCCACTATTGAAATGAGGAACCTGTTGGGGCCTTCCAGACAGTGGGGAGGAGGAAGAGGCCCTGTGTAGAGGGAGGGAGATGCCCGGACTGGCGCTGGCCGTCTCAGACCCCAGGCCCCTGCTTGGCCAGGCCAACAGACACTCTCCCCCTTGTGGCCAGGGTAAGGGGTCCAGGCCGGAGCCAGATGCAGGAAAGAGCCAGCTGCTGTGGTGAGAAATCTCCCCACCTGCTGGCCCAGTGTTTCTAGGGGGTTGGTAGCAAGGAGGAGGCACCGCTCCCTCTCCCAACTTAATCCGATGGGCAGGGTCTTGCACAATCCAGGATCCCAAGACTTCCTGCTGCCCAGCTCCTGGGTGCTAGAGAGGCATGCGGGGAAGGAGAGAAGGATGGCAGGAGGAGATCCTCAAAGGGATGTGAAATTGAGAAGAAGCCACAGATGAAAGATGAAAGCCTGTGGAGGAGGTAGCCAAGCCTGGGCCTAGGGAGCAATGCTGCTCCCTCCAGGAACCTCTTAGCAGGAGGCACAGGGCCTCCACTAGGCCCTTCCTTCAGCTTGGCCTTCCCAGGCTTCTGAAGGATGCCCATTTCCCGGGAGCAGCTCCCTCAGCCTTCCTGCAGTCTTGTCCTCACAGTCACACAAAGCAGGCAAGTATGCTTCCCTGGTAAACAGTCAGCTCCTCCCGCTGCTTCAGGAACCATCGCCAACTGGCAAGTCTTCTCTTCCTGAAGGAAAAGAGCTCCCTCCTGCCTCTGCAGGATGCTTTCTTAGGACCTGCTTAAAGAAAAGGGGAGGCCAGGCGCGGTGGCTCACACCTGTAATCCCAGCACTTTGGGAGGCCGAGGCAGGCAGATCATGAGATCAGGAGTTTGAGACCAGCCTGGCCAACATTGTGAAACACCATCTCTACTAAAAATACAAAAATTAGCAGGGCACGGTGGCAGGCGCCTGTAATCTCAGCTATTCGGGAGGCTGAGGCAAGAGAATTGCTTGAACCTGGGAGGCAGAGGTTGCAGTGAGCTGAGATCGCACCACTGTAGTCCAGCCTGGGTGACAGAGCAAGACTCTATCTCAGAAAAAAAAAAAAAAAAAAAAAAAAAAAAAGATGAAAAGGGGAAAGACAGGAAGAACAATAATACAAAATACATTATCACCCTTTGCAGAGATTATCTCATTCATCCTCACAACATACTCATTGCGATATCCCTGGCACCTCTAACGGTGCTGAGCACAATAAGCATTTGTGGAGAATTAAATGGGATTAGAGAACAATTCCATTACAACAGCATCAAAAAGAATGAATAACTTAGAAATAAATACAACAAAAAAGGGTAAAACTGATACTCTGAAAAATAAAAAGCCTTGAAAGTAATTAAAGAAGGTCTAAATAACTGGAAAAACAGTCCTTTATTCATAGATAGGAAGACTTTACATCACCGAGATGTCAGTACTCTCCAAGTTCACCTGCCGATTCAATGCAATCCCTGTCAGAATCCCAGCTGACTTCTTTGTAGAAAATGACGAGCTGATTCTAAAATTTGGATGAAATTGCAAGGGACCCAAAATAAGCAAAACAATCCTGAAAAAGAAGAACAAAGTAGGAGGACTCACACTTCCCAATTTCAAAACTTGCCAGAAAGCAACAGTAGTAAAGGCAATGTGGTAACAGCACAAGGAGAGACATACAGATCAATGGAATAGAATTGAGAGTTCAGACATAAATCCATGCATCTACTGATTTTTAACAAGGGTGTCAAGACCATCCAATGGGGAAAGAATAGTCTTTTCAACAGATGGTGTTGGGACGACTGGATTTCTGCATACAAAAGAACAAAGTTGGATCCCCATCACGTACTATATATAAAAATTAACTTCAATCAAATACTTAAATGTAAGAGTTAAAAACTATAAACCTGTTAGAAGAAATATAGGAATAAACCTTCATGACCTTGGATTTGACAAAGGATTCTTAGATATAATGCCAAAAACATAAGCAACACAAGAAAAAAATAGAACATCAGGTTTCATGAAAATTTAAAACTTTTGTGCTTCAAATGACACAAAAAAAATGAAAAGATAACCCACAGAGTGGGAGAAAAAAATTGCAATTGTATTCATAATACATAAGAACTCTTAGGCCAGGTGCGGTGGCTCACTCCTGTAATCCCAGCACTTTGGGAAGCCTAGGCGGGTGGATCACAAGGCCAAGAGATCGAGACCAGCCTGGCCAACATGGTGAAACCCTGTCTCTACTAAAAATACAAAAATTAGCTGGGCGTGGTGGCACGCACCTGTAGTCCCAGCTACTCGGGAGGCTGAGGCAGGAGAATCGCTTGAACCTGGCGGGGCGGAGGTTGCAATGGGCGGAGGTTGCAATGAGCCGAGATCGCACCACTGCCCTCCAACCTGGTGACAGAGCAAATCTCAAAAAAAAAAAAGACCACTTACAACTCAATAATTAAAAGACAAATAGATCAATTTTTAAATGGGCAAAGGCTATGAATAGACATTTCCACAAGGAAGATATACAAATGGCCAATAGGCACATGCACGTGAAGAGAAACTTAACACCATTAGTCATCAGTAAAATGCAAATCAAAGCTACAATGAATGAGATAACCACTTTACATCCACTCGGATGGCTAAACTCAAAAAGTCAGATAATAGCAAGTGTTGACAAGGATGTGGAGAAATCAGAACTTTTATACACTGCTGGTGGGGATGTAAAATGGTGCAGCCACATTGGAAAATAGTCCGGCAGTTCTTCAAAAGATTAAACATAGAGTTACCCTATGACCCAGCAATTCCACTCCTAGTTATATGCCCAAGAGAAATGAAAACACATGGTCATATAGAAACTTGTACACAAACGTTTATATCAGCATTATTCATAATAGACAAAAGATGGAGACAACCCAAATGCCTATCAACTGATGAATAGGTAAACACAATGTTGTACATCCATATGCAATGGAATATTTACTCAACCAAAATGAGTGAACCCTAATGTAAACTATGAACTTGGATTGATAATTATGGGTCTGTGTTGGTTCATTGATTGTAATAAGTGTACCACATTGATATGGGATTGTTGGTGGCTGGAAAGGCTGAGAGGGAGAGGAAGTGGTATATGCAAACCCTTTGTACTTTCCACTCAATTTTGCTACAAACCTAAAATTGTTCTAAAAATCTTAAAACTTTTTTTAAAGTCAAAAAAAAAAAGGAATGAAGTATTTATACATTCTATAACACAAGTGAACCTTGAGAACATTATTTTCAGCCAGTAACAAAATACCACATATTGTAGGATTTCATGTATATAAAATATCCAGAACAGGGCAATCTATAGAGATGAGAAGCATATTAGTGGCTTTCTAGGGCTGGTGCAGGGGAGAGGGTGGAGAGAAGAAAGTGGGTGGTAGCTAAAGCATGCAGGATTTCTTTTTGGAGTGGTGAAAATATTCTAAAGTTGACAGTGGTGAGTGGTAATGGTTGCCCATACCTATGATTGTACTAAAAAACCCTTGAATTGTATACTTTAAGTGAGCAAATTGTATGGTATGTGAACTATATCTCAATAAAGCTAGTAAGAAAAAGACATTATTGGGACAACTGAAACTAAATGTGCATGGTGGACTAGAAAGTTGTGTTAATATTAAAGCTTTCTGATTTTGATAATTGCAAAAAACTTAATGGACGTCCCTATAAGGTACTATCATTATTCCCATTATATAGATGCAGAAAGTGAGGAAGAACAAGGTCAAGTTACTTGTCCAGGATCACACAGCAGCCTAAGAGCCCTTAGTTTTTACCTCCTCCTTGCTTCTCTTAGCACCCTGGTCTTTCCCTTCATAGCACTTATCACAATTGATAATTTTACATGTTTTGTTCTGCAAGATGATAAGTTCACTGACGATAGTGACAGGTCACCTCTGATCATCACTTCTCCATATATTTAAACAAATATTTATTGAGCCTACTGTGAGCCAGGCCTGCATGCACAAAGGTCGGTGAGAATATTCTAGTACAGGGCTTGGCTCATAAGTGGATGCTCAACAGATATTTGTAGCTAGGATGGAAGGGTAGATGAGTGTATGGATAGGTAAATGGATGAATGGATGGGCAGATGGCTGTGTGGATAGGTAGATAATTGGATGAGTGGATGGATGGATGAATGGATGGATGGATGAGTGGATAGATGGATGGATGGATGGATGGATGGATGGATGGATGGATGATGTGGGGATGGGTAGATGGATGGATAGGTGGATGTGTATGTGGATGGACAGATGAACAGATGGGTGGGTTGAATGGGTAGGTGCATAAGTGGAAAGGGAGCTTCTGGGAAAAGGCTGATTGGGCTTGCCCAGGCACAGTACCTGGTGTCATCCTCCTCACCTAGCTATCTTCCCCTTCCTACCTCAGCCTCTACCCAGGTCCCCATCTTCAGACCCATCACATCCTGAGAAACACACCCACTGTACAGACCCTCCTGTCTTCCTCCACCAAGGCTGTCTAAATCATCCTTCAAGGCCTTGCCAGGCCCCACTCCTCCAGGAAGCCTTCCTAGCTCATGTGGTCTGCTTCTCTTCTGCACTCCTAATTCACAATATTGATGGACAACCCATATCATCACATCGGTCATCCTGAATAGATGCTCCTGAGATGCAGACCTGGAGCCTGGGAAGGGCCGGGCTTCCTCCTCCTCTGCTGTCCTAGGGGCTGGTTAGTGACAGGCAGGGGGTGAAGCCACTGCATTGGCTACAAGGCAGGAGTCACAATCTCTCCCTTGATGGAGAAGGAGGACCCGGGTGAAGCCCTTGCTAGGGGCACAGGCAGGAGGAAGATCTCAGCCATGCCAGCTTCAGAGGAACTGCCAGGCCAACCCTGGGGGAGGCTGGGACCAAGCCCGACCCTCAACCAGGCTGGGGCTGGGCTGAGCTGGCAGGAGGACGCAGGCAGGCAGGAGGCTGTGCGGGTGCCTCCCTCCCCTCCTCAGCCCGGCCCGACCAGCCCCCAGGCAGGCTGGAGGCCTGTTTGCCTTGGCCCCGGGCCAGGGCCGCCCCGCCAGTGAGTAATGCGTGAGGACCGCCTGGCTCCGGTTCAAGGGAAACGGGCTGGAGACGAGACGGGGCCTTCTAGGCCTTCATGGGGCTAGGTTCCGGGGGCGGCTTCCCAGAAAGTGCCTGCCGAGGCTGCGTTGGGGCCACTGCCAGGCCAGCCGCCCTCCTTCCCCTTTCTCCATCCCCTTTTCTCCCCTTCTTCCTCTGTAGAGACCGAGGAAAGGCAGATCTTGAGCTCCCAGAAAAAGATCATTAGGCATGGCCCAGGACCCAAGGAGAAGGAGCTTGTCAGGACCCCAGCCATCTACCCCACACACCTAACAGAGCCAGCCAGTCCCTGGTCCATTAACCCACACTTTCTGAGCACCCAGTCTCTGAAAGGCAAGGACTTGCTGTCAGGGAGAGCACGCGAGTTCAGGGCATGGGGCATGGGCAGCTCAGAAGCTCTCAGTGCTGGTCCTGGAAGCTGTGGCGCCGGACAAGGCCTCCCTATTTATCTGCCCACATTCCAGGGCTCCTGATGAGGACGCTGCAGCCCAGAGAAAAGGATGGACTTGCCCACGCTGCCCAGCGAGTTAATTGCAGCAAGGTAAGAGCCCATGCCTCCTGCCCATGGGACTCTAGGCCCTGCTGCTCTGAACAGTGGCCTTCTCCTTCAGCTTGCGTGGCTGTCATGATGAAGGGCCACTGCCTAGGATGGTTCTATTTTTCAGTTGCATCCTCCTGGAGCATTTCCGGGGCTTCTGTAACTTTGCGACTCTGCCCTTGGTGAGTGGTATCTTTCTGCTTAGGACCTAAGTGACCACCTGGGTGGAGAAGACACCATGGTCATCAACACCTTTTGGAGGCACAGAGATTCCCAGCCCTCTGGGAGATTTTGCAGCCAACCATGTCCCTATGCCTCTCCAGGCCTCTATCCATGGTCAGTCTTCCTAGTTGCAAAATACAGAACATTATTCTGGCTGAGTTAAGCACAAAAGAAAAGTCATGAGGGGATCCTGGGTAGGTCACAGAATCAACAACATGCCAGAGAACTTCTCCACAGCAGGGGTGGCTGCCAAACCACACCACAGTGCTGGCCTCCTGAGACCCGCACTGGCCCTGCCACAGAGCCCCAGAAGGCTCCTCTCTTTCCACTGACATCAGCACTAGACACCAAACGCTGGACGCTGCTGTTGGCCTAGCCGTCCCTGCTGCCCCCTAGAAACAGGATGTGACCACTGTCCACCTCCGGAATGATTCTCCTACATCCCTGCTTCTCTATTCCCAGACCCTGATCCCAGGACCAGGATGAGGGCATCTGATTGGCCAATCCCAGGTCACATGACTGTACTTGGTCACTAGGGAAGCTGGGAAAGCAAGTATCTTGCTCATTATCCTCTCAATAAGACTCAAGTAAGGGCCGGGCATAGTGGCTCATGCCTGTAATCCCAGCACTGTGGGAAGCCGAGGCAGTGGACCACCTGAGGTCCAGAGTTCGAGACCAGCCAGATCAACATGGTGAAACCCTGTCTCTACTAAAACTACAAAAATTAGCTGGGCATGGTGGCGCATGCCTGAAATCCCAGTTACTCAGGAGGCAGAGGCAGGAGAATGGCTTGAAGCCAGGAGGCAGAGGTTGCAGTGAGCCCGAGATTGCACCACCGCACTCCAGCCTGGGTGACAGAGTGAGACGCAGTCTCAGATTTAAAAAATAAAAATAAAAAACAAACAAAAACAAAACAAAAAAAGACTCAAGTAAGAATTCCCCTAAACCAGATAGAGAGCCAGATGACAGTAGGCTAATCTACAAAAACAAATGTCCTCTCTGTTTCATTCCCCCACCTCCAATTCTTTGTCTATCTCATTATCTGCCCAGACTCTCAAAGTGGACATATGCAGAGAAGTTTGTTGCTGAAAGAGCTTTGGGGTTCAGCATGTAATTGCACTATGTCAGTGAAATTCTTAGCCTAGGACATGGCACTTAATAGGTATTGAACAAAGTCAAGCTCTCCTCCCTGACAAGTACGCAGATGGGCCAGCTGAGGTGGCCTGTGGCTCTGCTAGTTGGCCACAGGATCTGTCCTGGGTTACTTGACTCCTCTCTCTGCTTTCCCATGGCAGACAAGGACAGGGATTAGAAGAAAATGTCATATAAAGTGCTGCAGGATGTGATTCATTCCGACAGAAGAGACTGGAAGCCTTCTTGAAGGAGTAGATGTTTGAGCTGGACATTGAAAGAAGAGATGGGTTTCATCAGCTAGAGAGCAGGGAAATGCATTTCAGGCCAAGGGGCCTGTGTGGAGATGTGGAGATGTGGTTTTTTACAAACAAAATAACTCAATGTTGGATGTTACAACATACTCTCTGCCCTAACTAGAAGTATGGATTAGCAGGGGGCAGCATGCGAATCGAGACAGTGCCCAGGAGGCCCCTGAATTGTTCAAGCCAGAAGCCAGGAGTGCCTAAGCTGAGGCAGTGCCAGCAAAACAAAAACAACTTGACATCCAAAAATTTCCAGTCCAGGGAGAGAGGAAAAACACATGGGGAAGAGCAGAGGGGAATGGAAAGAATGCGACTGCCTTTTTAGGCAGGTGGCTTTTGAGGTGCTGGATTCAGTCCTCAGGGTCCCTTTACACAGTGGAACCAAAAGTAATCAAGAAAGCAACAGGATAGAGTATTCCCCTGCAGGGGGTTCTCCATATAGTTTGAGGCATGAATGGGCAGGGAGTGAATCCCTAACAGGCAAGCTCTGGTAACACCTGGTGGCCCCTAAAAAACCCTCACCTTGTGAACAGGGTGGGTGTAGTCATTTGCAGGGCTTTAGTTTTGCTAAGTGCAAGTCCAGGGCCAGAGTGGAATTGCTGAGACAACAGACCAGAGGCTGAAGCTGCCAGTGGGTCCTTCTTCCCTTGTCTCTTGCTGTGAAGCCCTTGGTTATGCTTAGAAGAAGAAGAAAGAGAAGGAGGAGAAAGGGAGATGGAAAGAAGGAAGGAAGGAGGGAAGGAAAGAAGGCAGCAAGGAAGGAGGGAAGGAGAGAGGGAGGAAGGGAAGGAAGGAAGGAAGGAAGGGAGGAAGGGAAGGAACGAAGGAAGGAAGGAAGGAAGGAAGGAAGGAAGGAAGGAAGGAAGGAAGGAAGGAACGAAGGAAGGAAGGAAGGAATGCAGGCAGGCAGGCAGGCAGGCTACTTAAAGACAATTGGCACCAAAATGAGGGACTAAACCAAGAAAGGTAAAGTCATGGGATGCCGGTAACGAGGGATCCCACCCAATAGAAGGTGGAGGGATGCTTCAGGGTGACTGCTGTGCATCAGGCCTATGAGGCAACCTGTCCAGACTAGGGCAGAGGGCTGGAGACTCCAGAAGGGGAAAAAATTGAACTGACAAACTATCTGGTAGGTTTAACATTGAGAAAAACTATATTGAGAAGTAATTGAAGAGTGTGGAAACCAATGGCAAAAAATACAATGGACTTGAAGCAAATGAAAAGAACCTAGACAACTCAACTTCAGAAATACCAACACATTGTGTAAAAATAATAGATGCAATCATAGTATACTATATGACTCAGGGTGTACAATACGGGCATAGTCATAATAATGTAAGTGTTGGCCACTGGAAAGGGAAGCAATGTGATGCTGCAAGAGAGCTAATCCCCAGCTAGGAGGTTATTAGATGATATCTAAAATTGATGTATCAAGAAACATAAGAATAAGAATATTATTTTGGAATATGGTGATATACAGTAGTACCCCACTACCCTTGAGGGATATGTTCCAAGACGCCCAGGAAGCCTGAAACTACAGATAGTACAGAACCCTACATATTTTTTCCTGTGCATATATACCTATGACGAAGTTGAATTTATAAATTAGATGTAGTAAAAGATTAACAACAATAATAAAATAGAATACCTAAGACAACGTGTCAGCATCACTACTCTTGGGCTTCGAGGCCATCATTAAGTAAAATAAGGGTTACTTGAACACAAGCTCTGCAATACGATGACAGTTGCTCTGCTAACAGACACTACTAAGTGACCAATGGGTGGGAAGTGCCTACAGCATGGACACACTGGACAAAGAGATGATTCACGTCCCGGATAAGACAGAGCAGAACAACACGAGATTTTTATCCGCTACTCAGAATGGCACACAATTTAAAACTTATATATAAATTGCTTCTTTCTGGAATTTTCCACTTAATATTTTCAGACCATGGCTGGGCACACTGGCTCACGCATGTAATCCCAGCACTTTGGGAGGCCAAGGTGGGCAGATGGCTTGAGCCCAGGAGTTTGCGACCAGCCTGGGCAACGTGGCAAAACCTCATCTCTAGGCTGGGCGCAGTGGCTCACGCCTGTAATCCCAGCACTGTGGGAGGCCAGGGTGGGTGGATCACTTGAGGTCAGGAGTTCAACATGGTGAAATCCAATCCCTACTAAAAATACAAAAAAATTAGCAGGAAATGGTGGCACATGCCTGTAATCCCAGCTACTTGGGAGGCTGAGGTGGGAGAATCATTTCAACCTAGGAGGCAGAGGTTGCAGTGAGCCAAGATTGCGCCACTGCACTCCAGCTTGGAAGACAGAACAAGACTCTGTCTCAAAAAACAAAAAACAAAAAACAAAAACAAAAACATCTCTACAAAAGATACAAAAATTAGTTGGGTGTGGTGGCACACACCTGTAGTTCTAGCTACTCAAGAGGCTAAGGTGGGAAGATGCATTGAGCCCAGGAGGTCGAGGCAGCAGTGAGCCAAGATCACACCACTGCGCTCCAACCTGGGTGACAGAGCAAGATGCTGTCTCGAAAAAAAAAAATACATATATATATATATCTCACACATATATCTATCATATATGATATATATCACATATATATAAAAAATGATATATATATATATCACAGGTAACTGAAACAGTGGAAAACAAAACTGCAGATAAGGAGGGACTATTGTAATCCATTCTAATGAAATTTACCCCTGAAAAGTAGCATTGGAGAAATTAAGAAGGGCTTTAACATTTTATTTAATGCATTATTGTGTCTTTTGAATATTTGATGATGAATATATACTATTTTTACATTTTTAATGAATATTTTATATATCCCTAAAAAGTTATAGTGATAAATACTGAAAGAAACAGCTTGAAAAGTTGAAAGGGTTACTTCTGGGGAATAAACCTAGGGTGGGAGAGAAACAACAGTGGACTGCAATTTTTTATTATAAGACTTTCAATACTACTCGACTTTTAAAATTTTGTGTATGAATTACTTTGAAAAAAATTTTTAAGACAAATGACCACAAAGAGTAACAAACCCAGAGAAAAAAATAGGCAGAGGACATAAACAAGAAATCCACAAAAGAAACAGAAATGTCTCCCAAACACATGGAAAAAAAAAATCATCCCTACTAATGATGAACGAAAGCATCAGAAGTAGCTGCGTGTTCATGAACCTGGAAATATGTTCTCATTACAGCATTAAGTGTGTTTGTGTCAGGGAATGAGCAGTTTAAAAAATCATACAATAGTGTCATTTTGTAACAATTTAAGCATTCATTCAGCAAATTTTCTGTGAGCACCTATTATATAGTGAGCACATAAAAATGTATTTTTTTAAAGTCTGAAATGAGTTGTGTTCAGATGTCAAGAAGTTCTCTGTAAAAAACACAAGAGGTGATTTTCACAAAATTCTTCTCCCTTTGTATTTGGTGGTTTTTGTTTTGTTTTGTTTTGTTTTTTGAGACAGAGTTTTGCTCTTGTTGCCCAGGCTGGAATGCAATGGCGCTATCTCGGCTCACCACAACCTCTGCCTCCTGGTTTCAAGCGATTCTCCTGCCTCAGCCTCCCGAGTAGCTGGGATTACAGGCATGCACCACCATGCCCTGCTAATTTTGTATTTTTTAGTAGAAATGGGGTTTCTCCATGTTGGTCAGGCTGGTCTCGAACTCCCGACCTCAGGTGATCCACCCGCCTCGGCCTCCCAAAGTGCTGGGATTACAGGCGTGAGCCACTGAGCCCAGCCCTCCCTTTGTATTTGTTAATTTAGTCTCTAATATTTAAAGAGGGAACATATCTTGCTAAGGAGATAAAAGTAAATAGCAAAAGAAATGAATCACCTATTTTGAGCACTCCCAAAATAAGAAATAAAGCACTGACAATTGGTTTGGATAAGCACCCAATTATTAACCTGCTCAGACACTATAGAGACTGTATCACATACTTTTTTTTTTTTTTTTTTTTTTGAGATGAAGTCCCACTCTGTTGCCCAGGCTGTGCAGTGGTGTGATCTTGGCTTACTGCAACCTCCGCCTCCTGGGTTCAAGTGATCCTCTTGCCTCAGCCTCCTGAGGAGCTGGGACTACAGGCACACACCACCATGCCCAGCTAAATTTTTTTGTATTTTTAGTAGAGATGGGGTTTCACCATGTTGACCAGGCTGGTCTCGAACTCCTGACCTCAGGTGATCCGTCTACCTCAGCCTGCCGAAGTGGTGGGATTACAGGTGTGAGCCACCATGCTTGGCACACATCCATTTTTATACCTCAATCCTCGACAGCATCATGCACATAATAGGTCTCCAGATAAACAACTGAATAATCAAAACAAGCAGGGGCTTGTGTGGTGTGGTGGTCAGGGGCTTACTGTATGTATGTGAGCCTCCAACATGCAAATGGGTACTGATAAAAACTACACAGTGTTAAAAGGATCCACATGAGTGATGCATATAAAGCACTCAGCTCCGTGTTTGGCAATAGGTAAGAATTCAAGAAAAGTTGGATGCTATTAATAATAGTAGTAGTTGTTGTTATTGTCATTGCTGTAATAGTAGCTAGGACCCCAGAAATTCCACCACTCATGCAAGTGCCCATGTGCAAGACAGTCCCCTCAGCAGTCCTGAGAACAGCAACCTTTCCCTCTTTCTCCTCTTCCTCTTCCTCCTCTTCTTCCTCCTCTTCTTCCTCCTTTTTTTCCTCCTCCTCCCACCCCCTCCCGCTGACATTCTCTCTACCCCATTGCTCACTGACTACCTGAGAGCAAATACGTGGGGACAGCACAGGCTCAGTCATCACCTGAGGCTGACCACCTGGTCCCAGGGATTAAAAACCACAACGTGCAACTCCCATTCCCTCCCTGGGTCACATCATACATAAGGCACTGTCCTACATGCAGCTCATTAGGTGCTGGAAGAAAAGGAAGAAGGGGACAAACTTAGGGTAAACAAGACTGAATTTTTGGAGGGGATGCCTGCCATTGACACTTCTTTAAAAATATAGACTTTGGCCAGGCGCGGTGGCTCAAGCCTGTAATCCCAGCACTTTGGGAGGCTGAGGCGGGCAGATCACAAGGTCAGGAGATCGAGACCATCCTGGCTAACACAGTGAAACCCCGTCTCTACTAAAAATACAAAAAATTAGCCGGGTATGGTGGCGGGTGCCTGTAGTCCCAGCTACTCGGGAGGCTGAGGCAGGAAAATGGCGTGAACCCGGGAGGCGGAGCTTGCAGTGAGCCGAGATCATGCCACCGCACTCCAGCCTGGGCGACAGAGCAAGACTCTGTCTCAAAAAAAAAAAAAAAAAATATATATATATATATATATATATAGACTTTAACTGATGTATAACACATGTAGAAAAGTGCACAATTTTCACAAACTGTACACCCCGTGTAACCAGCCCTAAGATCAAGAAACAGGACATCATCAGCCCCTAGAAGTTCTTCTCGTGCCCACTTCCTGACATCTAACACCACAAATTGGTTTCGCCTGATTTTGAACTTTATATAAAGGGAATCATACAGTGTAGACTTTTCTGTGTGTGCCTTCTTTGGCCCAGCGTTATAACTGTGCAGATCATCCTGCTGCCGTGTAGAGTTGGAGTTCTTTCATGCCCATTGTTGCATGATGTGCACTGTGTAAATAACCATCGACTTTTGACAGATATTTGAGTTGTTTCAGTTTAGAGCTATTATCAATAGTGCTGCTATTAATATACTTTATTTTTTTATTTTGAGACAGAGTCTCACTGTGTCACCCAGGCTGGAGTGCAGTGGTGTCATCTCACCTCACTGCAACTTTCGCCTCCCAGGTTCAAGCGATTCTCCTGCCTCAGTCTCCCAAATAGCTGGGATTGCAGGCATGTGCCAACATGCCAGACTAATGTTTGCATTTTCTTTAGTAGAGGTGGGGTTTCACCATATTGGCCAGGCTGGTCTCAAACTCCCGAACTCAAGTGATCTGCCTGCCTAGGCCCCCCAAAGTGCTGCGATTACAGGTGTGAGCCACTGTACCCGGCCTGCTGTGAGTATTCTTGTACATGTTCAAGAATATATTCACTAAAAGACACATATATTTTAGTGAATATATGTGTGCATTTCTGATGCAGGTATGATTCTCTTTAGCTTTGGTAGATACTGCCAAAAAGTTAACCAGTTTATACCCCCAGCATCATCACACAAGAGTTCCTGTTGCACCACGTCCTCACTCCCATTCAGTACTAAGTAGCATATCTTTAAATGAACACTAGCATCTTTTAAATTCTGCTCCACTACTAGACAACCATGAAAATGAATAATCTCCAAAAATGTCTGTGATGTATCATTAAGTGACATAAGCAGGGCGCAGGCTGATATGTAGAATGTGACTCCATTGGTGAGAATTGTATATGTGCATATGTAGAGGCAGAAGCCAATTCAGAAAGGGGACATATCTGAGTCTCCAGCATGCTCACCTCTGGGGAGTGAAGTTGGAGGGCATAATTTAAATGATGAGGTTAGCGCTAATTTTTACTTTTGATACCATTTTTCAATATTTTTAAAATTCAAGAAAAAGATCTGTATAAGTAAAATAAAATCACTCACCATTCCATTATCTAAGGCTGGCAGCCAGACTCTGTCATTCTTGTTATTTCCCAGCATGCGCTCCTGCTCTGGAATTACCTCGGGCAGGGCCTCTGGGACAAGTCTCCCGGGCACTGTAATTTCCCTGGCTGCAGTGTGTCATTAGAAGATTTGGTGCTGATGACACGACGCCCATACACAGTGAACATTACAGCCCCGGTTGGGACAGGACAGCTTGGCCAAGGAGCAAGCCCTTCCTGCAGAGAGACCCCCAGAGTCTCGAGCTGCCTCAGTGGGATCAGGCCTTAGCGTGTTTCTGTCTCGACCTTAAGGAACAGAAGCTGGGAAAACTACTCTTTCAAGGCTGCTGGTGTCTCTAGGCTCCCCTGGAGACCCAGGGCTCAGAGCAAGGGCTGTGGAGTTAGGCAGACCTGGGCTTCGGTTCTACCACGCTTTTGCTGTGAGTCTCTCGCTGGGCCTGCAAGTCTTCACCTGTAAAATGAGCTAATGAGAGCGCTTACCTTAAAGACAACACAACGTAGGCCAGGCGCGGTGGCTCACGCCTGTAATCCCAGCTACTCGGGAGGCTGAGGCACGAGAATTGCTTGAGTCTGGGAGGCGGAGGTTGCAGTGAGCAGAGATCATGCCATCATGCCACTGTACTTCAGCCTGGGTGACAAGAGTGAAACTGTCTCAAAAAAAAAAACAAAAAAAAAAAGTACCTTGCAGAGAGTGCCTGGCACATACTTAGCCCTAAGTAAACGCAGGTTTTTGTTATTATTATTGTGGGTGTAGTTGTCGCTATTACCACCACCCTAAGAGGTAAAGTTTTGCATTCACCTTTTGGGAGAAAAGAATATAATAATGTGCTTTTTATTTTCACTAGTGTTATAAAGTAAGTACATACCCACTTTTCTTTTCTTTTTTTTTTTTGGAGATGGAGTCTCGCTCTGTCCCCTAAGCTGGAGTGCAGTGGTGCAATCTCGCTCACTGAAGCCTCTGCCTCCCAGGTTCAAGCAATTCTCCTGCCTCAGCTTCCCGAGTATTTGGGACTACAGGTGCACACCAGCTAATTTTTAATAGAGGCTGGGTTTCACCATGTTGCCTAGGCTGGTTTCAAACTCCTGAGCTCAGGCAAGCCGCCCACCTCGGCTTCCCAAAGTGCTAGGATTACAGGCGTGAGCCACTGCACCTGGTCCCATACCCACTTTTCTTGGGGAAAAGGGAATTTGGCTGAGCACAGTGGCTCATTCCTATAATCCCAGCAAGGCAGGAGGATCACTAGAGACCAGCAGTTGGAAACCAGCCTGGGCAATGTAGCGAGTCTCCGTCTCAACAAAAAAATTAAAAAATTAGCCAGGCAGGGTGGTGCTCACCTTTAGTTCCAGCTATTTGGGAGGCTGAGGGCAGGAAGATCATTTGAGCCCAGGAGTTCAAGGCTATGATCATGCCACTGCACTACAGCCTGAGCAACAGAGACCCTGTCTCTAAAAAAAAAGAAAAAAGATAAAAAAAAGGAATTCACCTGGAACTTAAATTCATATATTTTAGTTGAAAAGTTAAATAGTCATTCAACATTGATCCATCCAATATCGGTTGAGTGCCTTCTATCCCTTCTATGTGCTGGGCATTGTTCTAGATTCTGGGGTTATGGCAGTGACCAGAGCAAAGTCCCTGCTGTCACAGAGCTCACACTCTACTAGGGGCCTCTGATAATAGTCAAGCCAACAAACAGATATATAATAAAATGTCAAACATAGGCCAGGCACGGTGGCTCACACCTGTAATCCCAGCACTTTGGGAGGCCAAGGCAGGCGGATCATGAGGTCAAGAGATCGAGACCAGCCTGGCCAACCTGGTGAAACCCCATCTCTACTAAAAATACAAAATTAGCCAGGCATGGTGGTGTGCGCCTGTAGTCCCGGCTACTCCGGAGGCTGAGACAGGAGAATCACTTGAACCTGGGAGGCGGAGGTTGCAGTAAGCTGAGATCATGCCATTGCACTCCAGCCTGGGCAACAAGAGCAAAACTCTGTCTCAAAAAAAAAAAAAAAGGCAAATGTGTATATAATACAGTAAGTATAATGTCAACCACCAATATGAAGAAAAATCAAGCAGGATAGGCAAGAGGAGCTGGGAACGTGGTCTGATGACTCTAATCAATGTGTTCACTGGAGCCGGAGCTCTGCTCTGAGCCTCTCTCTCCTTGCCCAGAGGGTACTGGCTTTGGCCAGGTTAAAGTGGCCCCTGGCCTCAACCAGATGAGGTTGAGGAGAAGGTGAAGAGCCGTTTCAAAGACTACGTAGCTGAGGAGCAGGCAAGGGCAGGGTTTCATCAGAGAGGAGCCCTGGACCAGGTGGGAGACTGTGCCCTTGGAGGACACCTGGTGGCAGTCCCTCATGGGGCACCACTGGAGAGGCACTTCATGCCAATTACAGCAGGTATTTACTCATCACCTACTACGAGCCCAGTGCTGGGCTTTGTACTGTGACTGTGAAAGGATTCAAGTAAGCATGAGGGCTGGGCTCGTGCCTGACCTCAAGGAGCTCCCAGACGCTGGAGATACAAGACCCACCTCCATAAAAGAAAGAAGCAAGCCAGATTCTGCAAGGGACTGAGTGTGGGGCACAGGTCACATAATCATCTGGATAGGCAAACCTCCAAATCTCAGCCACAAAGAAAAAGTTCCACATTCAAACAAAGTCTGCAGCGGGCCCAGGGGCTCTCCAGAGCAGCCATTCAGGATCCGAACGCTTTTCCATCTTCTGTCTCCATCATCCTAAAACATATCTTCCAGGTCCCTGTGGCAGAGAGAGAGAGAGAGAGAGAGAGAGAGCTGGGTCACCCTGCACCAATTTTTCAATGCTTTAGCTTGGAAGTGACACATGGCACTTCTCACAGCCCATTGGCCAGAACTGGTCACATGGTCCCAAACAAACTGCAAGGGAGGCTGGGAAATGAGGGAAATGCATAAGTATTCCCTGGGAATGAAATGTCTCGACCCCAGGTCACTCATTACTGCTGGGATCTGGGCAGGCAGAGTGCAAGACCTGGAGTTTGAAATGGGCATGGGACAGAGTGGTGAGCACCAGGCTTTGGACAAAAGAGCCCTGGGTTAGGCTTAAGGAAAACTGCTCGGCCACCTCTTGGCTGGGTGACTTGTGTAAGTCGCTCATCTCTTTTAGCCTCAGTTTCTTCTAAAATGGGGGTAGTCAGAGCTCCCATCCAGAATCATTAGAGGAACGTGTATCAAAGGGCAGTCTACACTGCGGAGAATGGATTCAATACAGTTGTCTATGACACATCTCTATTTTCTTTAAGGTTCAAAGCAGTCCTAATATACACACTCTATTTCTGTCCCCAGCGCTTCTGTGTCCCACTGATCTTACACTTTTCCACTAAAATGCCCACTGCAGAAGAGAAACTGCCAGGGCCTGGGGCCACCACCTAAAGCAACATCAAGGGCAACCACGTGTCCTTGAAGTGTCTTGTTTTTTCTCAACAATTCAGGTCAAGTTTGCATTCTACTACGTAAGATATAAGGGCTTATGGTAGAAACAATTGTATTCCTTCTCCCCCTAAGCTTCCACTAAAATGGCAGCTCCAGGCAGCTCCAGGCTTAGCAAGAGCTTCCCCTGGCACCTGGGCACATGTCCATGGCAGACTCTGCCTCTCAAATCCCCAGGAAGGCGGGCACAGGCTCCCTAGGAAGAGGCTCCCAGCTCTCCCAGGTCTCCGTGGCTCTCATAGCTGTTTAAATGGACCCTGCAGTGGGCCACCCCCGACCCAGGCAGCGCGTCCCTGCCCAGCCTCTCACCCCCAGCCCAGCCAGGAAATTGTCCCTGAATTAATCAAAGCACTTGCACTAGTCCCAACTCACCAGAGTCCTCCTCCAGCGGCCACTTTGTGTTGGGTAGATTAATTGCAGCTGGGGGAGGGGAGGGAATCCATTTTTAGAAAATCATTACTTTCAGAAAGAGAGCGGGGTTCTTCTGGCTGAGGGAAAACTGCTGAGCTAGCAGCTCGGGCCTCCTGCTTGAGAGCCGCCAGGAAACCAGGGACTGTGCGGGCTGCTCCTGGCTCCAAGGGTGGCAGCCTGGGCCCACGCACCCCTCCTCCTGAGGCCAGGACACCCCAACCCTGCAGCCCTGGCTGCTGGTGGTCTTTGCTTCCTGCCCTGGCCTGGACTCAGCAGTTGGATGACATTTTGAGCAGGAAGGAATCGCCTCAATATTGGCCACCCCCCTACTATCCATGGACTGGCTTTCCAACTGTCTTCTCTCACTTGCTGCAAAATCCACCACCCAGAGGGCACCACCAGCCTCTGACTGCAGCTGCGGGATGAAAAGAAGGGTGGGGACCCCTGATTACGGCTGGCTGCCTTGGATTAAGTATCTCATAAAGTATCTGAAATTGCCATTATTGTGGGTCAACATGATCAGATATTAGCAATCCCACGTGGTTCAACCTAATTAGCATATGGTCAGCTCTTCACATGAATTTTCTCCCCAGTCCCGATTTTAGCCTCATGAAAGTATAATACACACTTTGTGCTTTGGAAATTGAGGTTCAGAGAGGTTGTGACTTGCCCAAGTGAGTGCTCAAACCCAGATCTGTCTGACCCCCAAACCGGTGACTGTGAGCCACATCCTATTTCACATCAGGCCCCCACCTTGCCTGCCCCCAGCACACCCTCAGGGACAATCAGGAGTTGCTCATTGAGGGCACACCGGCTGAGCTGACAAACAGGTCCTTTGCAGGCTGCTGAGTGTTGGGAGCTTAATAGACCCAGCGAGAAGTCATCGCTTGCTATAGGTTTGGGTGCAAATCCAGCTTCCATCACAGGCTGTGCATAGGTGGTCCCGGGCAAATCACTCACCCATTGGAGGGTCAGGCCCTTCCTGAATCAGGGAAGGCCTGCCCACGTCCTCTGCGGCGTGGGGGCACAGGCAGCATGACCCTTGGTATGCACTGACAAGTACAAATGGCAGGTGTTGTTTCTGTTGCTCAGCAGTCAGATCAGCTTGGTCCTTCCAAACCAGAACTTGTTTTAGAAAAAACATATACCCAACTCCTTGAGCCAGGCCTGCCCAGAGAGATTAGATAACACAGAAGTGATGAAATCTGATGCTATCGCTTAACAGCTGGGAGACTGTGGGCAATTCTTTGAACCTATTTATCTGTAGAATGGGAGTGATGATCATGGTATCCACTCGCAGAGTGGCTGTGAGGATCATATGGGACAATCCCAGTGTAAAGTGCTTAGAACACTGCCTAGCACAGAGTCAGGACATACTCAGTGTTGCCTCTTGATGATGAAGATGATGACAATTATTCCCAGCCCAAGCTAAGCCCACAAATATGCCTCGTTCATGAGACAAGTCCTGTCTGAGTACCACACCAGGAATTGTCAGGGCAGTGAATCCTAACTGAGACTCCAGTTGAGACCCCAGGGTGCCAAGAGCTTATAGTTCAGCAGAAGAGAGAATCTTACACTATTGAACATTCTTCAGGACAAATTTTTTTTTTTTTTTGAGACAAAGTTTCACTCTTGTCGCCCAGGCTGGAGTGCAATTGCGTAATCTTGGCTCACCACAACCTCCGCCTCCCGGGTTCAAGTGATTCTCCTGCCTCAGCCTCCCAAGTAGCTGGGATTACAGACGCCGACCACCATGCCAGGCTAATTTTGTATTTTTAGTAGACACGGGGGTTTCACCGTGTTGGCCAGGATGGTCTCGAACTCCTGACCTCAGGTGATCCGCCCGCCTCAGCCACCCAAAGTGCTGGGATTACAGACGTGAGCCACCGCGCCCGCCCAGACAGAAATTTTTTAAAGGGAGGAGGCTTCTTGGAGGAAGTGTTGCCTGCATCACATCCCAAAGGATAAGGAGGAGATAGCTAATTGAAGTGGCTGCAAAGCACTTGCTGCAGAAGCGCATGAGCACGGCGGGCCTGCAGCACAGTGCATCCCCCTGCATGCCTGGAACAAAAGGTTTCTGTGCGTGGAGGGCTGGGGACTCAGGGGAGAGGTTGGCAGAGGTGGATGCTGAAGGGCTACTTTCACCAGAGGTAAGGGAGACCCAGGGAAAACTTACAGGCCCTGAAATAAGTCATGCTAGTGGGGGTAGAGAAAACAGAACTCTGAGAGAGATATTTGCATTTTATAATTATTGATCGGGTGAAACAGGATGGAGGGAATTTGTTTTTTTTCATTATGGGGGACAGGGGCAAGGATGGGGAATCCAGGTTTCTGGTTGGGACAGCTGAGGCATCTACAGGTCTGAGGGAGACAGAACCACCAGAGTGATGCTGTCATCCAGGGAGAGGGTGTAGCCTGAGCAGAGCCTGAGATCGAATTATATAAGATACCCTGAAATTTAAGGGGCAAACTGAAAGGAAGGAGTACCAAGAGGCAGGAAAACTTCCTTCCAATGGGGTACCTTCTCCCCCTACTCTGCTAATCTCAATGCCATCTGAGCTGAAAGTCCCACCTCCTCTGCAAGCACCTGTGGCCCCAAGACCAGGCCTCCTCCTGGGTCCTCGCCTTTTCTTCTGCCTGCTCTGTTGCTGATCATCTCAGGTGTGGCGTCTTGTCCCCCAGCATCACTCACAGGCACCGTCCAGGTCCACGTTACCTCCGTGCCCGCTGCGGCACATTGAAGGTGCTCAGGAGATGACTGTGGGTGACGGGCTTGCCGGCAAAAAGAGGGAAGTGTCAGAAACCAGCAAATGCCAGACTCCTCCTAAGCACTCCTCTTTCCCCACCACCCGGAATCAGCCATGCTGCCAGAACCCACACACCTCCACCCCTGTTCCAGCCTCTCCTTCCTCCAGAAGCCACAGCTTCTGCCTCCCAAATCCAGAGGCCTTGCGCAAGTGGTCAGGAGGAAACGTGGCGGACCACCCTCCCACCTTCTCTCCATTTCAGGGAGTTGTGGGACTGGAGCCACACAGGATCCTACCAAATAAACATCTCAACAGGGCGTGGACCAAGCAGGAAGAACCACTCAGCCCGGAGTCAGATCCTGATCTCCCTAACCACTTACTATCTCACTGTGTGACCTTGAGCCAGTCATTTCACCTCTCAAAGCCTCCATTTTTGCAGCGTGTCCTAATGAAGATGAAATGAGAATTC